>NC_000013.11:85744457-85897297 GCF_000001405.40 Homo sapiens | reverse complement strand
GGTTTTATATTTGACTGCAGTTTGACCTACAAGCCAGTAGATGGCATTTAATTGGTAGGGGACTGTTCCAGCCAATGTGGCTGGTTATAAACTTCATCCTTTTTAACTAGCAAAACCTCTCAGTTGCCTCAGGTAATGGGCTTCTTCATGGAACACACAGTGGTCTGAGCTCCCTGCTAAGTCCCAGGCTATGTGGGGCCATGAAGGGCGGTGCCTAATTGGGCAGCTCCACCTACATGTCCAGGATGGCAGGCACAGGCACCAGCAGCAAGGGAGAATCCAGCATGCGCCACCAAGCCCCCAGATACTTGCCTAGGTGTGGAGCTGGGAAACCTCAGCTCTAAGTTCTCTGCACAGGGATAGAGGTGACCTAAACTTCTAATTTAAGAGAATGGGTTCTCCAGAAGCCTGGAGATCTGCCTGGGCATTTAGTAGAGAGGATCCTCCTGCACCAAGATATCTGCAAAGGGGAAGTGGGGTAACTGAGACTGCTGAACCAGGCAAGCAGGTTCTCCGAATGCCTGGAGATCTGCTTGGACATGTAGCAGAGAGGGCCCTTCTGCACCAGGATCTCAGCACAGGAAGAGTGGAATGACTCAGGCTTCTGATCCAGGTAAGCAGTGCTCCAAATGCTGGAGGTCTGCCTGAGCATAGAGCAGAGAGGGCTCCCCCAACAAGGTCTCTGCAAAGGAGGGCTGGAGTGACTCAAGTTGTTGTACCAGGCAAACAGGTGCTCCAAATGCCTGGAGATCTGCCTGGGTGTGGAGCAGAGACAGTCTGGCTGTATCAGTCTATGTCCAGGAAAGGTTGGGCAGCTCAGGCTGCTGAATCAGGTAAATGGTTGCTCTGAGTGCCTGGATGTCTGCCTCGGGGTGGAACAGAGAAGGCCTCACTGCATCAAGATTTCAAGGGAGCAGAATTTGGCACCCAGGAAAGTCACATACAGATCAGTTCCAGGTTACCAAGCTGGCCATGGCTGCACATCTCACCACAGGAGAAACTATACTTGTAGGAGCTCTTCTTCTGCCCTACGCTTGTGAAGGAGGAAAGCGCAATTCCAGCCCCTGTTGCTGAGGTGGTTTCCACAGTTCTGCCTGCAGAGTCCTATAACCCTCTCCAGAGCAAGCACTCCAAACTCGGGATTGCAAAGGAATGACTGAACTTACATGCATTTGGAATTAAAATGATATCCTGCTCTCAGTCCTGGGTCTAGCAAAATGTTTGAATTTGCTGCAGGTTTATTTTCATCACAGTGTCTCAAAGCCTCTTCTCTGCTTAGTTCCTGGGCTTGGGATAAACAAACTGCTCTCCCCCGGCCTGGGTTGCTCAGATGCTCAGTGAAAAGGTGAGTTCTTTTATTAGTCAGGTTCTCTAGAGGGACAAGACTAATAGGATAGATGTATATATGAAAGGGAGTTTATTAAGGAGTATTGACTCACACAATCACAAAGGTGAAGTCCTACAATAGGCCATCTGCAAGCTGAGGAACAAAGAGGACAACCCTAGTCCCAAAACCTCAAAAATAGGGAAGCCAACAGTGCAGCTTTCAGTCTTCGGCCAAAGGCCTGAGAGCCCCTGGCAAACCACTGGTATAATTTTAAGAGTTCAAAAGCTGAAGAACTTGAACTCTGATGTTCAAAGGCAGGAAGAACCCAGCACAGAAGAAAGATGAAGGCCAAAAGAATCAGCCAGTCTACTCTTTCCACATTCCTCTGTCTGCTTTTATCCTAGCCATATTGGCAGCTGATTAGATGGTACCCATCAAGATTGAGGGTGGGTCTGCCTCTCTCAGTCCACTGACTCAAATGTTAATCTCCTTTGGCAACACCCTCACAGATGCAACCAGGAATAATACTTTGCATCCTTCAATCCAATCAAGTTGACACTCAATATTAACCATCATAGTCACGGAGGGAGGCTCTTAGCCTTGCTCACATACTAAAGCTTTATTCACTTTTATCAGCCAGATGCCATTACTGGGGCTGTTTGTTAACATTCTCTCTGGGATCTGGGGAACCCTTCACAATTCTGGTTGATTCCCATTTTCCTTCTCAAATTAAACTTCACAGAGAGGATTTTTATGTGCTATCTTGTTATTTCCAAGAGGCTGAGGCACATGGAAAGCATCTAATCTGCCATCTTGAAAAAAATTAATATTTTAATATTTTATTTTGTTAATAAATAGTTTCATTCTCAGCTTAATTGTTTTAAGGGAATATCTTTTATATAATAAAATTTTGGTCCTTGTAATTACAACTAAGGCATTATGTTAACTAAGGAGAGCAGCAAAATAGTAATCCAAGGTTTCGTCTTACTTTTCTCAATTCTTTTACTTGAATTGAATAGTATGGAGCAAAACTTATTAAATTATTTTATTATTATAAAGTTTTATTAGAAAAATATTTTAAGTCATCCAGTGCATTCAAAAGCAAAAAGTTAGTATAAATATTACAATAATTAAATAGCGGTACTCATAGACGTTTGCTTCTGGTTTACATAACATACTGGGAGAAAATTAAACATATGCTGTGCTCTCATAAACAAAACAATTCCGGAAGATGTTGCCAATTTAGGAGAGAACACAAATACTCAAAGGCTTTAAATGTCACATTTAAAATCAGGTATTATAAACATTAACAAACTTAAAAGGAGAATTGTGTACATAGAATGTATTATGTATAAACTAATTAAAACACTTAAAAGAATTATAGAAAATGGCACGTTATTATAGATTCCAATTTTGACCACTGTACATTAACATAAGTATACAGATGTTCTCTACAAGTTTATTTAGAATAATTTTTAAAATATTAAAGATTTATATACAGCAAAAAGCTATTGGGTAAATTTTAATTCTCCACATTTTAAATTGTTATCTATACTCTTTAAGGCCATCTTTATCTATGAAAATAAAATGCATGAACATAGGAGTGGTACAGCATAGGAAGACTTGTCATTTTCTTTGTTGTCTTATTTTACATTATAAAGTTTCTTTAGTAGAAAAACCAAAAATCGAGGTTTTTGTTCAACCAAACTGTAGATCTGTCAGGCTTCATCAGATTTTTTGTTTCCAAAAAGGATGTATTTCTTCCTTTGAAAGAATATGCCAGTATAGAATTATTACTTGCATCTGGATGTGAATCAATAGTAAGAAATCTGTCTCTATAGTCATTTTAAAACAGAACACTAAAATAATAATTAAGATCTCATTTGAAACATTAGCACCTCTGTCTATGGCTATTCCACCCTGAATGCATCAGATCTCATCTACACATTAGCATATTTTTGTTTAGACATCTTTGTCCAAGATTTATTCTGGTGTGTTCTGGAATTCTAAAAGATGAATAGGTTTTCCACAGCCAAAAAGTAAAATTACTCATTTTGTGTAATATGAGATAGGTATATTTTAAAGATGTACATACAAACAACCTTTTCTAAGACTCTGAGATTTCTCATGGAAATAAATATTTATCTTTGTTTAAAATGATTTGTCCACATCATAGCCCAAACATCTTAGAAAAATCTAGCATAAAGCAAGATCAAAATAAGTATTATAAATTAACAAGTAAAGGATAAGGGAGTGTATTAGTTCATTCTCATATAGTTATAAAGAACTACCCAAGAGTGGGTAATTTATAAGGAAAAGAGGTTTAATTGAATCACAGTTCTGCATGGTTGGGGATGCCTAAGGAAACATACAATCATGGCAGAAGAGGAAGAGTCATGTTTTTCATGGCAGCAGGCAAGTGACAGCAAGTACAAACACAGGAAAAACTATGATTTATAAAACCATTACATCTTGTGAGAATTCACTTACTATCATGAGAACGGGATGGGGGAAACTGCCCCCATAATCCAGTCTCTTCCCACCAGGTCTCTTCCTAAACCCTTGGGCATTACAATTCAAGTTGAGTTTTGGGTGGGGAAACAAAGCATAACCATATCATTCCACTCCTGGCCCCTCCAAACCTCATGTCCTCACATTTCAAAATCAATCATGCCTTCCCAAAATTCCTCCCATGTCAACTAGCTTCAGCATTAATTTCAAAGTCCAATGTCTCATCTGAGACAAGACAAGTCCCTTTTGCCTATGAGCCTGTAAAATCAAAAACAAGTTAGTTACTTCCAAGATACAATGATGGTACAGGAATTGGATAAATGCTCCCATTCCAAATAAAATAAGTCTGTCAAAGAAAAGGGGTTACATTAAAATCTGAAAGTTCCAAAATAATCACCCTTGATTCCATGTCTCATATGCAGGTCATGCTGATGCAAAGGGTAGGCTCCCACAGCCTTGGACAGCTGCACTCCTATGGCTTTGCAGGGTACAGTCTCCTTCTCAGCTGCTTTCACAGTCTGGCATTGAGTGTATGTGGCTTTTCTGGGAGCACAGTGCATGCTGTTATTGAATCTACCATTCTGGGGTCTGGAGGATGCTGGCCCTCTTCTCATAGCTCCACTAGGCAGTGCCCCAGTGGGGACTCTGTGTGGGAACACTGACCCTGCATTTTCCTTCTGCACTGTCCTAGCAGAGATTCTCCATGAGGGCTCTATCCTGCAGCAAATTTCTGCCTGGATATCTAGGCATTTTCACACATTCTCTGAAATCCAGGCAGAGGTTCCCAAACCTCAATTCTTGACTTCTGTGCACCCACAGGCACAACACCACATGGAAGCCACCAGGGATTGGGGCTCACACCCTCTGAAGCAACAGCCTGAGTTCTATGCTGGCCCCTTTTAGCCAGGGCTGGGATGCAGGGTGCCAAGTCCCAAGGCTGCACAGAGCAGTAGTGAGGCTCCGGGCCTGGCCCAAGAAACCATTTTTGCCTCCTAGACTTTTGGGCTTGTGATGGGAAGTGCTGTCATGAAGGTCTTTAACATGCCCTGGAGACATTTTTCCCATTGTCTTGGCTGTTAACATTCTGCTCCACATTACTCAAAAACATTTCTGCAGCTAGCTTGCATTCCTCCCCAGAAGATGCATTTTTCTTTTCTACTACATGGTCGGGCTGCAAATTTTCCTAACTTATATGCTCTGTTTCCCTTTTAAACATAAGTTCCAGTTTCAACCCATCTCTTTGTGAATGCATAAGACTGAAGACTTTGAAAATCAACCAGGTCACCTGGTAAATCCTTTGCTGCTTAGAAATTTCTTTCACCAGATACCCTAAATCACCTCTCTCAAGGTCGACGTTCCACATATTTCTAGGGCAAGGGCAAAAATGCCACCAGTCTCTTTGTTAAAGAATAGCATGAGTGACCTTTACTCCAATTCCCAATAAGTTCCTCATCTCCATCTGAGACCACCTCAGCCTGGACTGCATTGTTCACATCACTCTCAGCATTTTGGTCAAAACTATTTAATATGTCTCTAGAAAGTTCCAAGCTTTCCCATCTTCCTATCTTATCCTGAGCCCTCTAAACTGTTCTAACCTCTGCCCATTACCCAATTCCAAAGTTGCTTCAACATTTTCAAGTATCTTAGCAGTGCCCCACTCTCTGTGGTACCAATTTACTGTATTAGTCGGTTTTCACACTGCTATAAAAAACTGCCCAAGACTGAGTAGTTTATGAAGAAAAGAGGTTTAATTGACTCACAGTTCCACATGACTGGGGAGGCCTCAGGAAACTTAGAATTATGGCAGAAGGGGAAGAGGCATGTCTTACATGGTGGGGGTGAGAGAAAGCAGGAAAAACTACTATTTATGAAACCATCAAATCTCCTGAGAATTCATTCACTATCATGAGAACAGCGTGGGGGAAAACTGCCCCGATAATCCAGTCACTTCCCACCAGCTCTCTCCATAAACACCTGGGAATTACATTTCAAGATGAGATTTGAATGGGGGCAAAAAGCCTAACCATATCAGGCAGCATATCACAAAATAATTAATTAGTTATTGAGTTATAGACACCAAAATAAACTATGTGTAGTTAAGCAAAAAACAATGTATTGTGAGAGTTACCCAGCGGCTGCACACAACATTTTCTGGGAACAGGTTAATAAATTTTAGAAATAGTTTAGAAACTAGTGTAGCTTCTGTTTCAGGCAAAATGTATTGTTCTCTAGTATTTTTTATAGTTTTTTTATTGAACAGTTTTCCTCTTGATTCTGAATTACTCTGCTTAGCATTTAAAATTTTAGATGATTTAATTATTGAGTAACTTGGGCCATATTCCTTTGTCTAGGTGAAGTGGACATTTGTTATTTTTGCCTACCCAGGATTTACTCAAAATGAATCATAGATCTAAATGTAAAATATAAAACTTCAAAACTCTTAGAATATTATAAAGGAGAAAAATGTGTTGACCTTGGGTACAACAATGACCATTTAAAATACAACAAAAGTTTGATCAATGAAAGAAATAATTGATAAGCAGGACTTTATTGAAATTAAAAACTTCTCTGAGAAAATTAATAACTAGAATGAGAAAAAAAAGCCACAGACTTGGAGAATGTATTTGCAAAAGACACATGAAGGGCTCTTATTCAAAATATACAAAGAACTCTTAATACTAAACAAAAAGAAAACAACAACAACAAAAAAAACCTGATTAAAAAAATGGGCCCAGAACACTAACAGACAGTTCACCAAAGATTTACAAATATTGAATAAGCATACAAAATGTTGCTTCATATCATATGTCATCAAGGAAATGAGAATCTAACCAAGAATGAGATACCATTTACACACCAATTAGAATGGGCAAAATTTAAAACACTGAGAACTCCAGATGCTGGCAAGGATGTGGAGCACCAGGAATTCTCACTTATTGCTGTTGGGGTTGTAAAATGATACAGCCACTTTAGAAACACAGTTTTGCAATTTCTTACAAAACCAAACATATTCTTACCATACAATACATCAATTATACCCCACAATATTTACCCAAAGAAGTTGAAAATTTTTACATAAAAATTATTCTCACAGATTGTTATGCAGCCTTATTCATAACTGCTAAAACTTGGAAGCAAACAAGATCTCTTTTAGTAGGTGAATGAATAAACTCTAGTACATCTAGACAATGGAATATCATTCAGTGCTAAAAATAAATAAGCTATCAAACCATGAAAAGACATGGAGAAACCTTAAATACATAGTACTAAGTGAAAGTAGCTAATCTGAAAAAGGCTGAATGCTGTATTATTTAAACTATATGACATTCTGGAAAAGACAAAACTTCAAAGATGGTAAAAAAAAAAAAAAAAAAAAAAATCAATGTTTGCCAGGAATTGTGGCAAGGGGGAATAGGCAGAGCACAGACTATTTTTATGATATGTAAAACATTCTATGTGATATTATCATGGATGATACATATCATTATTCATTTCTCCAAACCCACAGAGTGTGCAACACCAAGAATGAACCGTAATGTAAACTATGAACTTTGGGTGATAATGATTTGTCAATGTAGGTTCTTCAATTACAACAAATGTGCCACTATGTGGGGTGTGTTATTAATGAGGGAATGTGCTCATGAGAAGCACAGGGTAAATGGGCTATCTCTTTACCTTTCAATTTTTGTTTTCAATAAAACTGCTCTATGAAAATAAAGTTTACGAATACTTTAAAAAAGAAATTAGCATTCATCTGTTGAATTTTCATCGTTTGACATTACTTTCATGCTGTCATTTGATTGCTTTATTTCATTGCCCAAATTGAGATAATCATAAATACATCTCCAAAAAATCCTATAGATATCATAGCCAACAAATATGGAAAATAAAGCATATTTCAAATGTAAAGTCATCACATGTATGAAACATTTAATGCTGATCATAATTATAGCTTGAACTCTAGACAAGCGTTTGAATGGCATATTTTAATTCACTCATGTCAAAAGGACAATGCATCAATTTAAAACATAAAACTGAAACAGATAGCTGGATTAGCCAAATGCTTAAACTCTTAGGGAATATATTATATATCTATTCAGCAGAGCCACATTTAGCATTAGAATAGAAAATAGCATAAAATATCCACTAGATTAAGAATTTGAAATTTCATTATTGGTTTCTTTATTGTAATTGTATAGCAAGCATTATAATATATAACTGAATAAGGCTTCTACCCACAGTACTACTGTGCTGATTTCTTTAATAACTAGAGTGCTGATTTCTTTAATAACTAAATAGCTAATAACTGGAAATAATTTTAGAATACAAATACAAATGTTATACGATCTGAAGACTTGAAAAATAATTATGCATAGAGAAAATTAAAATAAAAATTTAAAAATTCTACACAGAAGTTAAAAACCCAAAATAAACAAAATGTTTGCTTTGGTAACTTATACAGAGAAAAATATTTACTTAAAACTAATTAGAATACATTGATAATCAGTATGAAGAAATCATTATGCAATGGATAATTTAACAAGAGGGTTTCAAATGCCTCAATTTATATGTTAAAGAAAATTGAATCTGTTTTTCCCAAAATTGTTTTGATTTGCTCCTTTTTTACATACATGACTTCTACTGCTCTTTGGTAGATGTTGTTTCAAAACAGTTTTCTTGGTCGTATGTTTGAAAATCTGGTTAAATAATGTTAAGTAAATCCCCACAATCTTTATCCAATTAATGATTCAAAGATGCGATAACATATATATATACTTTCTATATATATATATAACAAATATACTTTCCAAAATCAATTGCTACATTAATTTTTTATAGAAATTCTACCTGAAATAGTAATAAGAGATGTCTGCTTTGGGAAGACATGTACAATCTTGATTTTATGGCAATCTAAGATACATGTATTATTATATTTTAAATTTTTATATATGTCATTCAAAGTCTAGTGCATTTATATCCTTATTATGTCTCTGATATATTAATAAATACGAGAAAATACTTATCCAAGAGCAATAGTAGATATTTATATTAAAAGGCTACTACTCATTACTATGGAATAAAGTAATGCTACGTGTAGCTAATTCTCATTATTTGCAGGAATTATGTTTTATAAAATCGCTACAAACACTGGATTTGTGAATACTGAGCTGTTGCATCTTGAGAAAATACAAGATTAGGCCCCTGCAAGCCTCTGGTCACATTTTGTCAAACAAAATGTTATTTGCATTAGGATATGTTTGATTGCCAATATGTTTTTAAAACAAGCCAGTCTCATCAGTGTGGAAAACCTGCTGTTCCATACATTTTTCCTGTATAGCACTTAGCAGGTATTTTAAAATTCCTCCCCAGCCTACTTATCTGCACCTGCAAGTTTAACTTTTTTTTTGTGCCCTATTCCCTTTCTAGATGTGTGAGCCAGCCAGCTTTCAAAAGTGTTCAACATTTTTTCGTGACTCCAGGTCTCATTACTACAAATGTCTTTGGATTTTGGTCTTACTATACTTAAAAAAAAAAAAAAAGGTTATCATTCTCATGAATCCACAAATGTAGCCATTTCTTCAGTTTTTACATAGCTTCAAAACATATTATACATGTGACTTCAGACTTTACAGAACAGCCTCACGTACAGATTGACAACTTTTCCCTTTTATGAATGTTTTCTATTGTTGGTTCATAATACTGAACTGAAACACAGCATAAGTCATGCCTGAACAAATGTTACCTAGCAAACTTTTATTTGCCATAAGATATCTCACAGCATTCTTGTGAGATATCTTAGAAACATTAGACATCTCTTCAACACCATGCTGGATGGTCATTGTGAAGAGTGAAATAACCAACAAAAGAACAACGTGCATAGTGGGAAACTACATGAACCATAAAGAACCACTTGTATACAGCATGGGACTTGAACCAGAAGTCAGAATGCCACATTGTTCTACCTGAACTATGAAGATTCATGTTAAGTAATTCAAATTTTTGGCAGCTCTGTGAATGTCTGTGAATGATTTTGAAGTGTCCTAATTATTAATATTAGGGTTAGAATTCACTTTTAGCAAGTAGGAAAGTTTACAAATGCAGGATACATCAATAATGAATATCAGCTCTTCAAAATACATGCCTATCAATTAAATCTTACTCTGATCAGAATTACCCATTGGAAGGAGAGGTCTGAGCCATGATCAGTCTCTTAAAAATATTTCATCAAAAACAGAGACATTTCTCTTTATATTATAAAGTTCTTATATATGGCCATTACGAACTCAAGTACTATTTGGAGAATGTACTTGTCAATAGATCAATTTCTGCCTGAAGTTATAAATAAAAGTATTCTACACTTGTTTTGGCTCAGATTGTTTAGTATTTTACTTAATCACTTAGTGGCTTAAAAATCATTTAACAGACCATTTAAAAAAATTTAGATAGAATTTCTGAAATTAAGAAATGGACTACCAAGTAGATTTTTATTTGAGAAATAAATGTGTCTTTAAAATTAAACCACATAGAAGCAAGTGGGATAATATATTTTAAAAAATTAAAGGTACACATAGATAAAAAAAAAACTTAAAATTATCTAGCAGCAATTGCTACTCAATCAGACAGTCATCCTTTGCATGACCTGTGAAATAAAGTGTGTTATCACTGAAATGACAAGAGACATAAAACTGGAAGATTTTCAAACTATACATATAACTAAAATTGTGGTAGAAAAATATGAAATAAATAAGAATTGTAAAATGCATACTTAATGTGAAAAATAACTAGACACTATGAAAAACAATATAGGACTTTCTCAAAATTTAGAAATAGAACTGCTAAATGATTTAGCAATCCTACTTCTGGATATTTATCCAAATGAATTGAAAACAGAATCTCAAAGAGATAATTGCACTCCCATATTTACTGTAACATTATTCACAGTAGCCAAGATATGGCATTAATCTAAGTGTCCATCAATGGATGAATGGATAAAGAAAATGTTACACACACACACACACACACACACACACACACACACACAAAATAGTATATCACTCAGCCATAAAAAAGAAGAGAATCATGTCATTTGTAACAACATCGATGAACAGGAGGACTTTATGCTAAGTGAAATAAACCAAGCACAGAAAGACAAATACCACATTATCTCAGTTATATGTGGAATCTAAAAATGTCAGACTCATAGAAGCAGAGAATAGAATGGTGGTGATCAAAGATTGTGGGATGGAGAAAATGGATAGATGTTTGTCAAAGGATGCAACTTTCTGTTACATGATAAATAAGTTCTGAGGATTTAATGTACAACATGGTGACTATAGTTAATGAAACTCTATTGTAACCTGAAATTTGCTGAGAGTAGGTATTTACTGTCTCTACAACACAAGAAAAAAATGGTAACTATGTGAGTTGTTGAAGTGTTAATTAATTTGATTGTGATAATCACTTCACAACAAACACATACATGAAATTATTATGAAATACACCTTAAATATATATAATATTTGTTTGTCAATTATGCATCAGTAAAGGTGAGGGGATGGGAGAAAATACAAACTATTTTTTTTTTTTTTGAGACGGAGTCTTGCTCTGTCACCCAGGCTGTAGTGCAGTGGCGCAGTCTCGGCTCACTACAAGCTCCGCCTCCCGGGTTCACGCCACTCTCCTGCCTCAGCCTCCCGAGTAGCTGGGACTACAGGCGCCTGCCACCACGCCAGGCTAATTTTTGTATTTTTTTAAGTAGAGATGGGGTTTCACCGTGTTAGCCAGGATGGACTCGATCTCCTGACCGTGTGATCCACCCATCTTGGCCTCCCAAAGTGCTGGGATTACAGGCGTGAGCCACCGCGCCCGGCCCCAAATTTTTTTAAAAAAAGAAATGAGTAGAGTGAGAGAAATAAATTGAGTCAAGATCCAATTTACACAATTACCCTTCTATCATTTACTGGTGTATGAGTCACAAGTGAAACTCATCAATGTAAACACGCACATATGAACATATCCAATTATGAGATACATACTATCTGAAATCTTTCAATCTATATGCCTGAGAATCTGTCTTTGTACAGTTCAAGGTCTCCAAATGACCACAAGAGCAATCTTCATTGATCAATTTCCTTTTCCCTATACAAGCTCACTCTAACAGCAATATTAGAGTGGAATAGGGAATTTGCCTCTTTGCTTACTATTTATTTTGTATCATATTTAATAAACCAGCATTTGAGAACATCCTTCTTTGTATCAGTTCATTTTATAAATTATTATTATTCTATTAAAGTACTCTTATTACCTCTGTAAAATATAAACTGAAAATTATTTCAAAACACGTCTCATGTTTTAAAAATTTTATAATTTTTAAGGTCTAATTTTCAATGAATATTGAGAGAGCTGGAAAAAAGGATCTAATCAATTCCTTGCTGATTTATAACTTTTCAAAACAAGCACATTTCATGAACTTTAATAATCTTAGGAACAGAAGGAATTTTAAGTATAATCTAGATCACCTCCCTCATTTTATTAATTAGGACATTGAAGTTAGAGAGGGTGAATACATTAGTTAATATTCAATGGATCATATTATTAAGTTTTCTTAAAACTAATCACACTAGAAATTAATGACTTTAAAACAAAGTCAAAGGTGAAAGGACTGGCATCATGTAGGCAAATTTAAATCGGCTGAAAATCAGGAAGAAATATTAAGTCAATATTTAAAGATTACTTCAAGAATTTAATTACGAGGATATATTATATAAACTTATACATAGTCCCAAATGGAATTGAATATGCAATTGTTTTCTGACATTATATAGGGAATAAGTAATTGAAGAAAGTTTTCAAGACAACCATAATCTATTTTTGGAGAGACATTCAATTTCAGTTTAATCAAGAATATACTTATGAATTAGACACTTTTTAAGATAGCATATGGCATTTTGCAATTCATGATCTAATACTTATCTCTTCCCAGGCTTTTAGATTTTCTTTGTCAATTAAATGAGGAGCCTTTTAGATTACATTTATAAATCCTTATGTCTATAGTTAAAGGCTCTTGTTTTCTTAAGGTGTCACAAGAATCCCTCATGCGCTTGACATCTATTGATCTCATCTACTTAATGGTTTTCTTTTCTGCTATAAATCTATGTCCTGGTCTTTTTTCAAAATGGTAATGACTCTCTCAATTTTCTTTTATCTTGAATAGAATTGACTGTGACATTTTAACATTCAAGCTAAACAGGAATATAATTAGAAATCATTTTAGTTACTCTCAAGTAAGTTACCCTGATTTTTTATAGGTATAACTATATAAACATTTCAGAAAGTGCAACCAAATATTTGAGAAAGGATAAATATACATTTACTTTGGGCTTGGGAGTGCTAACTATGATAACATATATTCATATCCCGTGAGTCTGTACTTGAACTCACAACCTCTTCTTTAAAAATCCTTGTACTTAACTCTCTCATTCAAACAAAGTTCCAGTATTTCATTCCGGATTAAGAAGGAACAAGAGATTGAATTATAATGAATACTAATGGCACTATTTGGTAGATAGACCAAAACACCTTCCTACCCAACTTTGGGACTTCAAAACCAGAGAGAGGATTTAGGAGACTGGGAGAAATTTCTTCAGTTATTAGAACAGGAGTTATCCCAAGGTGAATGGGGAGAAGCTAAGAAGCAAGTGATTAAAAATAAAGAGAAAGCCTAAGAGTTATCTTTGGTTTTTGTTTTAATATTTGTAAAATAAAAATAACATTCAGGGAAGACTAGGAAAGAAGAGGAACATACCGAGGCTTATCCAACCAACATTGCAAGCTTTTTTGCCAATTTCATCAGAATGCTAATGGTTAAGGGTGCATAGCTAACCAGCTGAAGGGATTTGTTTTGTGCTGTTGTTTTGTTTCTGTTTTTTAAATTTTTAAAAAATGTGCTTTGTAGATTACAGGAGTGGAAGGATATGTATCTATCTCACTGGTTGCTTCCGTAACCCTTGACCTCCTCTCTTCCTTTTTACCCCTACTGCTCAAGAAAATGGCTTCTTTCACTATCCCTTCCCGTAAAGGTTGTCCCTTATCTTTCTTTTTCAGGAGTTAACATCTACTCTTCTACTTTTTCTACACCTCAAATGATAAAATTGTTGCTAAAAAGAAAAAGAAATAAATAAGATATGGGAGAAAGATGAAAATCAAAATCCTAGGGTTTAATATTTTCAATATTATCTCCATTATTCATGACTCTACCCTTCCTTGAACATATATTCTTTAAGATAGAATTGATTACCTGGGCATAACACACACAGAGTATGGAACAAAACCAGCACTTCACAAAACTAACAAACTAATGGGAATAAATTTAAAATAAGACAAATATACAGTCACATGGTAAATTTATAGCTTTTATATTTTAATTTCAACAAATAAAAGCTTGTTTGTTTTTCGCCCTATGTAAATGCTATTTTACAACAAGATTTACCCATTTTTAGAAAATGATTCTAAAAGTATAAATGGTTGCAATTCAAAGTTTAATAACAAAATAAATCAAAGTAATTGCTATAATTTAATAATATGATAGCAATAAATAAATTGTCTTTGCAGACAAGCATAAGGACACAAAAATGATTGAAATTTTATTGTATGCCCTCCAAAATAAATAACTACATTAAAATTTGGGGAGATATTTATCAAACGTAAGGGTCAGATACACCTGAAGGATATCTAGCTCTTTTTACATAATTTGATAGTAGATCATGCAATTCAAATTTAAGCTTTACAGCGGAACTTCCATGCAAAGCATTAAAATTGATATTTTGACAACATAAAATCTTGTCCACATTTTATAGTCCCTTAATAAAAATTTGAGAACCTGCCAAGGCCAAGATTTTGCCTTTCTTAGGGAGATAAATGTCTTAATAAAACTCCCTTTCACCTTCATCTTAATTTTACATGTATGCCTGATACTCCGTTTGAATGCAAAGTTCTGCATTATATAAACTGCATTATTTAACTGCATCTATAAAGTCTGATTTTCTAATTCGTGATACTCTGCTAATTGCTGTAACTAGTAATAATTAGATAATGCTCTAGAAACTATATATTTAAATTTAAAAATTAAATTAAAGAACTAAACAAAATTAATAGTGAGTTACATGCAGATGTCTTTAAACTCATTGTGCTAATTGTATGTCTTCAGTTTATTAATAAGCTGTAACACCCAAATAAAATAAATAATTGACCCTGGAAAAATACAGGATTGAACTGCATGGTTCCAATTACACATAAATTTTCTTCTGTCTTTGCCACCCCTGACAAAGCAAGACCAACCCCTTCTCTTGCTTCTCCTTATCAGCCTTCTAAATGTGAGGATGATAAGGATGGAGATCTTTATGATGGTACATTTCTATTTAATGACTAGTAAATATATTTTTTCTTCCTTATGATTTTCTTAATAACATTTTCTCTTATTAGCTTACTTTATTGTAAGAGTAAAGTATATAATACAGTTGACTTTGAACAACATGAGTTTGAACTGTATGGGTCCATTTACGCATGGAGTTTTTTCAATAAATATATTTGAAAAGTTTTTGAAGATTTGCAAAAATTGGAAAAAACTCACAGTTGAACAATGTAACGTAAATTATTAAAAAAAGGTAGTTATTAATCCATAAAATATATGTAGATTCCAGTCTATTTCATGATTTACTACAATGAAACATATACAAATCTATCATTAAAAGTTAAAATTCATCAAAACTTATGCACACAAACACTTACCGACTGTACTTGGCACCATTCTCAGACAAGAGAAATTTAAACAGAGGTAAAAACTCTGCATTAAATTATAACTGCATAAAAGTAACTCTAGTATGTATTGTGCTACTGTAATAATTTTATAGCTACTTCCTGTTGCTATGGTGGTGAACTCAAGCGTTTCAAATATCTGCTTAAAATGCTGTGCGACTCTCACCATCTCCACGTGAGCAGCTCGTGTCCTCCGTAAATTGGGTATGGCAGTAAAATGCGATCTCTCACAGTTTCAAGTATTTTTCACTATTTTTAGTATAATACCATGAACCTTCAATAACACCATGGGACAAAATGCCATTAATGATTCTGGAAGTGCTCTCAAAAAGCACAAAAAAAGTTGAATTACTTGATGTGTACTGTAGACTGAGGTCTGCAGCTGCTTTTGCCCACCATTTCAGATAGAACATATATTTTATAAATAGATGAAATAAACCTACAGTATTGATAAATACCATACAGTTCAGTAAATGTATTTTCTCTCCTTCATGATTTTCCCAATAATATTTTCTTTTCTCTAGCTTCATTTACTGAAAGAACACAGCATATAATAGAGATAACATACAAAATATGTTATCAACTATGTTATCAGTAAGGCTTATGATTAACAACAGGCCATTAGTAGTTAAGTTTTGAGGGTGTCTGAAGCTATACATAAATTTTCTACTATGTGGGGGTTTGGTACCCCAACTCCTGCATTGTTCAAAGGTTACCTGCAGTTAGATTTGTGTTTAGAATCATGCCGACTTATGTATTAGTCTGTTTTCACGCTGCTATAAAGATTCTACCTGAGACTGGGTAATTTATGAAGAAAAGAGGTTTCATTGACTCACAGTTGCACATGGCTTGGGAGACCTCAAGAAACTTACAATCATGGTGGAAGGCAAAGAGAAAGCAAGGCACATCTTACAAGGCAGCAGGAGAGAGAGAGAAAGAGAGAGGAAAGGGAAGTGCCACACCTTTAAACCATCAGATCGCATGAGAAATGACTCACTATCACAAGAAGAGCGTGGAGAAAACTACCCCCATGATCCAATCACTTCCCACTAGGTCCCTCCCTTGACACATGGGGATTACAATTTGAGATGAGATTTGGGTAGGGACACAGAGCCAAATCATATCAACATATTTATAGCTTTTAAATCCACTCGAATTTTTTAACACTAAGTTCTTTTAGATGGTTCTATGGATAATATCATGGCGAATAAAAAGTAGAAGCAACTTTTTTTCTGCCTACCCCAAATTAATTAAAATATTAGAGATTAGAGGAGACTATGTGAGTATAGTTGATCAGATTGTTATAAAGAAACATTAATTTTATGTTTTGATGGGGTTAAAAATCCTTCAGATCCACTGCTTTTTGTACCCATTTATCACCAGTCCTCAACATACATTCACACACATCCAAGGTAAAAGTCAAATAATAAGGGTAATTAAAGTTACATGAGGGAAGAACGCTGCATTGCATAGTTTCTGGTATAAATGTACTCCCTAGCTCCTCGGAATGCTTAGCACAAAGATATGTTCAATAAATATTTGTTGAGTGAATAAATGACTGAAGGGCTTGCTCTGAATGGTGGTTTTGATAATGCACTGCTGAGGTGTTTAACTGATTAATTATATGTGTAAATTATTCATTTTCAAAGAAACAAGTGATAGCATACTCAGTTTCTTAAGTAATTTGAGTTCAATTTATGCTATTGCTGAAATACATTAATTGGTCCTTAATAGTTTGCAAAGCTTTATTCCACAAAATGATTGTCATTAGCTATAGAAGGGTTAAAAAGCATTGTTATATCAAGGATTTCCAGAAGTAGTGATTGTGTGCACATATAGAATTTTCCCATATAAAATCATAGAACAATGAACAGTTATTTCATTAATGTATGTTTAATAAGCTAATTAGTTCATATATTTCACAGTAATTTTTAACTAACATTTATGTTTTCTAATTTTAAGGCAAAGGATATGGAATAAAATACTCTTTAGACCCATGTTTTAAAGTCCTAGTCTCATTTGATTACAAGAATATATAGCCTCATTTATTTTACTTCTTCCTTTGCAGCATTAAAAAAAATTGTGCTATGATACGATTAAAAAATATATTGGAAATTCATTCTCCCACTCTTATTTTTATAATACATATTGGTTAAAGCCTAGATTGCTATTGCTATGTATTACCATGCTTTGAGTAAAAATAAATGTGTTCTGAGATACTGTAATATCTACTGTAAAAATACACATGCCTTTAAGAACAGGTGACATTTAATGAGGTGCACGTTCAACTGGATTATTCATGGAGACTAATGTCAGATGCTGTTATTTAGTGTCTTCTGATATTGGAATTATGAAATCGGTGATGTTTTAATAGGCTATCAACTTCCAACAACCAGATATAACCATTGCAATGGCTCAAACATATTAGCCTGAAATACCTCTTTCCCTAGTTAGATGCTGCCCTCTAAAGATGATCTCAAATCATTTTCACTAGAAATCAGTTTTAAAAAACATGTTTGTGTTTCTATATACAACAGATTATTTTCTGCTTTGAACATAGTCTCATAATTATAAATAGAACTTTAATTTTTTTAAATTCTATATGAATACAAATCAATTTATTACTTTAAATGTTTTTCTAATGATTTTGTTATTAGCAAACTAAAATTCTTTTATTTAATATAAGACATTAAACAAAGGTCTCTTGAGAAAAAATCAGAATGAATTGAGTGAATCATTAATAGTGTGATATACAGAAATTAATATGGAGTTTGTATTATAGAAGCTAGATATGTGATGTATGTAAATTATTAAAATTATACCTTGATATATTTTCTGACTAAGTTTTTGGAAAATACATAAAATTATTTAAATACTTTTGGCATCAGAGTAAATATATGTTCATTGTTTAAAATGAACATATATTGGACAAAAAGTTTAATTGAGGGACATAGTATTGAGTAAAAACCAAATGAGCTAATTTCACAAAAGGATTTTATTCCAGTAAGCTATGAATTATTTAAGGGTAAATAATTTCATTTTATGCCTTCTAAAATGCCAACTTATAGAACAATACTTAATTTAATTATATAGTACCATATTTAATTCAGTTATAAATTACTCTTAAGGTCTAGGTTTAATTTTGGATCATTTTGATTAAGATAACTTTTTAATGTTAATATATAGTTTTAATTTCAAGAAAATTAATTTGATCATTTTGCAACTTTTGAATAAATATTGTGAAAAAGCATTTTACCATCCTTTAACTGATTATGAGAAATATCATTTATTCAATCAATTTTATCCACAAAACATATAACAAGGAAACCATAGATTTAGGAGACCGGTTGATTATTGCCATAAACCTCTTCTATAATATTATAGAAAAAATAATTTTAATTAGTTAGCAAGCAAACAATATAAGATAATGTACTTGCACATCTATAGTGAAATGTGTGTTGTCTATAGGAACATTTATGAAATTAACATGGATTTTTTACTAATTCAATGAATTGTACATTCAACTTTATGATGTGTGGAGTATTTTACAGTTGTTAGTAATAATGTCATGTTATGCATTTATGACACACATTAAGGAAAAGAGATTTGAGTGACCAAAATCCACATTCAGGTTACTTAACAAATTTGATTATGTTTTCTAGAATCAAGTCTTGAATTATTAATCTTATCTACCCAAATAAATTAGAGAAATTATATTTAGAACTTGGTAAAATAAAGAGAACGAGTTATAAATAGAAACAAATTTAAATGTAAACTTTCTGTCTGTTTGTTTGTTTTATCAGACAGTGTCACTTTGTTGCCCAGGCTGGAATGCAGTGGCACAATCTCAGCACACAGTAACCTCTGGCTCCTGAGTTCAAACCATTCTCGTGCCTCAGCCTCCCGAGTAGCTGGGACGAGAGGCAAGTGCACCAACACCAGCTAATTTTTAGTAGAGAGAGGTTTCGCCATGTTGGCCAGGCTGATCTTGAACTCTTGTCCTCAAGTAATCTGCCCGCCTCAGCCTCCCAAAGTGCTGGGATTACAAGCACGAGCCACCGTGCCTGGCCTAAATGTAATCTCTTTAAACTTAAATTTTATCATCCTTTTATTGGTGTATAAAGGTAAAAAGAGTAATTCTGGCAAAGGTAAAAATTTAATGAATTTGTACCTTATGTCAACACTGAGAAATATAAGTTAAATAAAAATTTATTCTGGGTCCAAACAAAAATTTTAAGAGAAATAAAAAAGGCTAAATGTATTAATTTATTATAAAATTTTGCTTTCCTTAAACTATTTTGACTATCATTATGCAACCCAGTAAAGTCCCTCTTTTCTCCCCCTCCCTCTCACTAGCTTCCTCTCCTTCTCTCTATCTTCTTTACTGTATACACCAAACACTACTGTGGAAAACTGAATGGTCTCCATGAAGCTTAATGCAGCTTTTTGGTCATTCCATGTCCATTTACGGCTGTACATTGAAAAACCAAATGTGTATTAATCTGCTAGTCTCAAAACCATCTAATAAGTGTTTTGAAATTCTGCAAAGTCTTTCTGGTCTTCAGACGTCTCAGTGAAAATGACATGCCAGAAACTTGAAATACATCATGCTAGCTATTCTTTTCTAGAAATAAATAAACACAAACAAAAACAGAGAAAAAAAGATTAGATATTTTTTAAATTATGCTTTTCAGAATTGAAATAGATATTTGTGTTCCAAAAATATTTACAACATAAAACCATCATTTTAAATTAATATTTATAATAATAGGTCAACAAAATACTTAATACATTTAGACAATTTCACTGATCTATTATAAATATATATATTGAATATTTTACTAATTTAATATGATTTAGTATGCCTAAATACATATGACAGCATACATTTTAACCTGTGTGTATTATGCAAAATATATACTGTAATATACATTTGTATAAAATATAGATCAATATACAACATACATTTGCTCAACACTTTGTAACTTATAACAAACCAAGCATACATTACTCATTTTATTTCCCCAATAATATGTTTCCCAATATCCTCATTTTTTTAGGTGCAAAGACTAATACACAACAAGTCTCAGTGACGTGTTAACATTTATCACATGTTAAAAATATATATTTAGAAAAGAAAATCCCATTTACTTTCTTTAACTTCTCCCCAGAGAAAATAATGAGTTATTTCTCTCATATTTTTGTTACAAGCATATTTTAGAATATATGTTTTTTACCCATTAAATAAAATCAGAAATTCAAAAAATATTTAATTTTTATACAAGCCAAACTCTTTAGTTGTCCTTCTGGTATGCCTGAATGATATAGTCCAATTTCTGTCTTAATTAAAATCCTTATCTAAGAAACATTATTAGAATAGTAAAGTACGGTTATTCTTTCCAATCCATGAAGAATAAGTAGGTACTGTATGAAAGTGTTAGGGATGAGATTACTTTAAGATAAAAAAAAAAAGAACCTCAGACAGCTCATAATAGATTGGCTCTAAATCAAAGCAGGCAGAAAGCTAAAAACAGACTCAAGATTGATTCAGCTGTAGAATTAACTGCAAGATAAAAACAAGAAAATAATACTAATTTTTCTAAAGCTTAGCAAAAGGTCATAGGACTTTTGTACATTCCTGAATACTGATCAATTTTTATCTATTTGTGAAAAGACAATTTAAAAAGCAGCAATGTAATAACATTACTCGGACTACTGAAATCATTTTACAGATCAACAATATGACCTTATGGATTGTTTTAAATTTCAAATTTCTATAAATCCATCATGCTTATTTAAAATTTGACATTACATATTTTAATTAGAATACTCAGTGGAGTTTCAAAAACCTCCAATGAATAATGAAGAACTGATAATATTATTATTTCACAATAGATAAAAGTGAATAGCTAGTGATAATAATGAGATTTAGTTCACATGAATATATTAAAGTATCCATTTATTCAAATGACAAATAATTGTTTGTCTATAAGGTCTAGAATGTAAATAAGAGAGGTTAAAAAAACACACACACACACATGAAAACTGTTTTCTCATAGACTTTACATGCCGGTGGGGAGACAAAAACATTAAACTAATTAAGACCTGTATTTTGTTAGATGATGACATAAAGTATGAATGAAAATTGTAAAAGCAGATGGTAACAGCCAGTACAAGGGTGACTGCAATTTTAAATAACACAGCCAAGGAAAGCCTCACTTAGAAGATAAAATGAAAATCAAACACGCAAACAAAAAAAAAACAGATCACGAGAAAATATTTATAAAACCTATCTTACAGAAACCTCTTACACCTCAATACGAAGATAAACAGTACAATCAAATATAGGCAAATGACATAAAGGGACATCTCACAAATGAACTTATGCAAATAATAATGACATGAAAAGATACCCAATATCATTAGTCAACAGGGAACTAGAAATCAAAACGACAGTAAGATGCCATTTTACACGCTCTAGAATGGCTATAAGACACACAGAAAAAACGTTGTATGGATATAAAGAAAAAGGAATCCTCATCCATTGCTGATAGCAATGTAAAACGATGCAGCCACTTTCTGTAACATTCAGTTTCTTAAAGAGTTAAACATGAAACTACCATACAACCCAGCAGCTCCAATTCTAGGTATGAACCTAAGAGGAAAAAAAAGCATATGTCCACACAATGTGTACATGGATGTTCATAGGAGTAGTATTTACAGTAGCTAAAACGTGGAAAGAACCTTACTATTCACCAATTGTTGAATTAACAGAAAAAATGTGATATATGCATACAACGGAGTACTGTTTAGGAAAAGGGATGAGCTACCGACGAATAATATTTCATGGAAGAACCTCAAAAATCGTATGCAAAGTGAAAAAAGTAAGGCACAACAGTCGGTATGGTGCAATCTTATTTTACATGAAATGCCCAGAAAAGGCAAAATTACAGATATAGAAAGTAGATTAGTGGTTTCCTGGGGCTGGGTTGGGAATAGGGAGTAATTCTCAATGGGAATGAGGGATACTCATTGCAGGTATCTTATTGGAAAATGAAAATGTTCTAAAAGTCATTTACGACGATAGATTTACCATTTAGAAAAAGTGAACTGCACACTTGAAACAAATGAATTTCATTATATATAAAGTATATCAGGAAAGTTGTGTTTGAAAAAAGCCTGAGGGCCGGGTGCGGTGGCTCACGCCTGTAATCCCAGCACTTTGGGAGGCCGAGACAGGCAGATCACCTGAGGTCAGGAGTTCAAGACCAGCCTGTCCAACATGGTGAAACGTCGTCTCTATTAAAAATACAAAAATTAGCTGGACGTGCTGGCACATGCCTGTAATCCCAGCTACTAGGAAGGCTGAGACAGGAGAATCACTTGAATCTGGGAGGAGGAGGTTGCAGTGAGCAGAGATCTCACCACTGCACACCAGCCTGGGTGACAAGAGTGAAACTCCATCTCAAAAAAAAAATAAAATAAAAAGCCTGAGGATTATCTAGCATAGAGGAATAGACCTGCCTTGTACAATATAGTGCCCTTTAGTCAGGTTACTATTTAAATTAAGTATAATTAATTAGTTTTCTCAATGACATTAGCACATTTCAAGTGTTCAATAGCCATATGTGGCTAGAGGCTATGCTATAGGCAATACAAATACAGGACATTTTTATGACTGAGGTAACTCTTATTAGCTAGTGCTATTAGGGAGACCAAGGGGACAATGGTGAAGTGAGCTAGTGATGAGATTCAAAATATAATCTGAATACAGAATATGTGATGCATCGTTTATAGGCATGAGACGAGATTGGTGTCAAGCAAAACTCAAAGTTTTGGCTTAAGGTAAAGGGAGAATGGAGTTGCTATAAACTGAAATTGGGAAGACAATAGAGGAACAGATTGAGGATAGGGCATTAGGTTATAAATTTGTCCTTAGTCATATACATTTTAAAATACCTATTAGATATCCAAAAATATAAAGATCAATTAGGTAGATAAATAATGTCTGGAGTTCACAGGTGATATCAGAACTGAGTCCAAAGGCACCCAGTTTGAAGTAATTTGGAAGATTAGAAGTAACTAGCAATATAGACTGACAAGGGAAATCAATAAGAAAGAACTTTAGAAGGCGTAGGGTTCTGGAAACCAATAAAAGACATACATCTAGGAGGAGAGATTCATGGGCTGTAGCAAATGCTCCAGAAAGGTTAACAGAAGTAAGTACTGAGACACACGTTTTAAATTCAGCAACATTGGTGATATTGCAAAAATAGTTCCTGCATAGTGTTAGCATGAAACGCTGCTAGTAATCCAAGAGAGAGTAGGAAGGAAAAGACTAGAGGAAGAAAATGTAAAGTCCTTCTAGGAGAAGAGTAATATAGTAGTTAGAGAGAGAAAGTATGATCAAGAAAGTCATGTTTAACACGAGAAAAATAAAAGTCTATATGTTGATGCGAAAGATCAAGTGTGGAGGGAGCAAGAGAGGACAACTGCTGATCTAATGCTCTTGAATAAGAGAGTAGGGAACAATAATATACAAGTGAGAGTGTTAGCTAGTTGTATGAGTTTGAGTAGCCCATGCATAGTGAACAAACTAAGTATATGGTCAAGATGCAGGTATCTGAGAATATTTGCTGGTTGTACTGTGGTGCTAGTGAGCGTTCACTTCGACTTACTTCTATTGCCTGGATAATATAAAAGTCTATGTCAAAAGCTCTGCAGACCTGTTACACAACAATGTAAACATACTTAACACTAATGAACTGTGCATTTAAAAATGTTTAGGATGGTAAAATATTTTAACCACAATGTGGGAAAAAAAAGTCAAGTCAATGTCTACAGCCAAGAATGAAAATAGAGGAAGGTTTTGAAACTTTAAAGAGAGATGAAAATGTTTGAAAGAATCATAGAGGGCAGTGAGAAAATGAATAGATAAGAACAGAATAATATGCTTGCTAGACACCATAAGAATCTCATTTAAAGTTAGTTAATAAATGAAGATTGAGATCAGTCAGCATGTTTTTCCTCCAACTCCCTTCAACTACACAGGAGTAGACACTACTCATAGGTGCCACGGTGGAGAGCTCATTAGCTAGATTTGTAGTAATGCAAAATGAATATAGAAAAGAGAGTGAGTTTAATAAGTTAAAGACGCATACAAATGATGATGATTATAAGTTAGTGTATATGTCAGTTGTGGACTAGAGTAGTAGGATGTATGATATACCAGTCCTGGTGGGGTGTGAGAATTTTCAGTATCACTGGGGGAAACAAACTGTAAATGTTAAGTGTTTGTAGATGGAGAGTAAGATACATAAAATTGAGACTATTGTGGTGATAACTTCTTTTTTTAAGGACACATAAATACAAAGTTGAAGTAAGGCGAAAGATGAAATCATTAAAGAAAGGAGATCATGGAATTTAGGCCAGGCTATTGAAAGGGTCAATTAGTAGATACTGAAACCAACGGTGATGACAAGAGGAGCAGTGTTGGAGACAAATGACAATCAGTAAGAAAGAATGTCTTCAAAAATGAGTCTTAATATGATTTTCAGCTGATAATTCCAACAAAAATGTAGTGGATAGAAGAGTCTAAGGATGTGAGTTTCAAAGATAGGGATTTTTAGAGAGGAGAAATGGAGATTTATTTAAGAGCAGCAGTGAGGAACATGGAGGTTTGCTCTGCCACATTTCAGCCACTAACAAGAGGGGCAGACTAGAAGAGCATCCCGTATTGGAAAAATATGCAGGGAGAATGCCTTTAGGAGATATTTAAACTTTGGTCACAGAAAGAAAATGAAGGGAAAAGTTTGAGAAATAAACTTTTTTTCTAAATAAATGAGATTCAGCAGTTGGTTAAGAGTATAAGAATGGTCAGGAAAGGGCATTGGTAAGAGCCAGATGGAGTTTAGTAGGTGAGTCACAAGAGAAAATCCGTGAAAAGAAACTTCATAGAAAAATACTGTTCATGAACAGTAATATCTTGTCTGTGGACACTTAAATCTAAAGCATGAAAAAAATACATGAACCAGCTGTCTTCTCTGCTTTCAGTCTTCCCCAAAACAGGGAATACCATACACAACATCTATAGCAATATTTTTTAACGTGCATTAATTTTCTAATTCCATTCATGATGGAGAAATTGGTAAGAACAATATAAAATCTGAAGAAAATTTATAAAATGGTAATTGCAGATGGAACCACTGCAGGATTGA
This sequence comes from Homo sapiens, assembly GCF_000001405.40. Taxonomy (NCBI): domain Eukaryota; kingdom Metazoa; phylum Chordata; class Mammalia; order Primates; family Hominidae; genus Homo; species Homo sapiens. The sequence goes on along the minus strand of NC_000013.11, from coordinate 85,871,428 downwards.
AATTTTTTAGAAAGGGAGATACGTGAGGACTGTCCCACTTCCATTTGGGCTTAGTTTTGTAGGATATAATTTCAGCACAGCGAGGCTAAGCCCAAGCATGAGGAGATCTATCTGAAAGAAGGAAGCAGATCAGCATTTAGAACTTACAAAGAGGCTATGAAATTGGTGGCAGAAGCCTAGAAGTCTATGTGGAATTTCCTCTTGAATAATTTTGCCAACTCCTGGGCTGCCAATACGTAGGGACTGAGATTCCATGATCCATGGAAGAGAGCAAATATTCATATATAAAGGGTTGAAACAAGATTGGTGATCATAGAACATCTTAAGTCATTGACATCATGATCATTACCAATTTCAAAACTCTGACATTATGTCTTCAAATATTTGCTCCATTCTCTCTTTCTGTAACTCCAGTTTTATGTATTTCAATACTTATTTCACTTGCATTAGTAGTATATTTTCTATATTTTAATATTGACCCATACTTCAGCTCAATCCCCTCATCTTCTCAAGAGACTAATATGCTACTAGCCTATCTACTAATTTATTAAATTATTTTTAATATTTTTTAGTTCTAGTATTTCCACTTTCTCCTGTTGTCATTGACTTTCTAAAATATACAAAAACATTCATTCCATAATTTCTGTACCTGGGTCACATTTGGGTCTGTTTCTAAAGTCTATTATCTCTTTTTTTTCCCTTTGAACATTTCTTCTTCTCCTGGTGTGCACAGATATTTTTGTTTTCATACTAAAATTTAAATGTGAGTAATTTAGGAAATAAATTGAGTCTCTAGAAAATATTTACATTTGCTTTCCAGCATGCAATGTAATTAGGAGCAGCTCACTTCAATCCAGTCAGGTAGTGATCTACTTTGAGGCTTCATTTTAGCATTTTGTTAGAGTATTCTAAGTAACTGGGACTTCTACCATTTTGCTATTCTACAGACTTCACTGGAAACTGGTTGTTTTTACCAAGGTTTCTCTTTCTTACTAGCTCTGAACTCCAATTGCAATTTCCCCTCATATTGCAATTTCCCCAATGTGCAATTTCAATATTATTGAAATCTCATCTAAAATTTATATCTCAGAGATTTCCATCTTCTCTTTAAGCACCCCTTTCTTTGTCAGCAATTCCTTAAAGGGAAAGATGAAATAAAGATTTGGATAAATAGATCGAAAGACAGATAGAAGGATGGGTGGATAGATGATAGAAAGAAAGATAGATATATAGATAGATGATAGATAGATAGATGATAGTGCAGCTAGTCTCAAACAGCAGGGATTGTTGTCTGAAACAGACTACATCATGATTCCTACAAGTAGAAATTCTATTCTGGCAGCTTTAAAATATGTCATGGCTGCTAGTAATGTAATCTCCCCATTACTGCTTCATATTTTGTAAGTTTTTCATTATTTTGTTTTCATATTAAGCTTTCCAGACTGACTTTAGTTATGTTTCAAATGACCAGCCCCACAAAAAGTTTAGTGGCATTTAGGCTTGTAATGTTGCTTTTTTAGCCCTTTGTGTGCATACGTATGTGTGTATATGTGTGTGTTTATGTGTGTATAAATGTATGTGTGTGTGTGTGTAGTAGTATACTTATCCAGGCATTGTATTTATTTTCGAAACTTTGATGCTATGCTGAATTTTAACATTTTGTAATTAACTATGTAATTATCTTCCCAACATAATGGATTTTTTAATGAAATTTAATATTATAAATTAGTTTCTAAATTGACAGTTTACAAAACTGAATTTCTGTATTTCAGAACTTGAAGCCAGGGGCAGTGGCCCATTCCTATAACCCCAGCACTTTGGGAGGCTGATCCGGGATGATCACTTGAGCCCAGGCATTACAGATCAGCCTGGGCAACATAGTGAAACTCCATCTTTACAAAATTAGCCAGGCATAGTGGCGCACACCTGTAGTCCCGGCTACTTGGGAAGCTGAGGTGTGAGGATTACTTGAGCCTGGAGCGGTTGAGGCTGCAGTGACCCGTGACTATGCCTCTGCAGTCCAGTCTGGGTGACAGAGTAGAATCCTATCTCAAAAAAAACAAAAACAAAAAAACTTCGATTTATCCATGTATCTCAGAATAGTTTTATTATCATCTTTTTAAAAGTTCTATGATTATTCTTATGAAAATTATTTTAGGATATGTATGAAAGTTAATGGCATGGTGGCCGGGCGTAGTGGCTCACGCCTGTAATCCCAACACTTGGGGAGGCCGAGGTGGGGGTATCACAAGGTAAGGAGATACAGACCATCCTGGCTAACATTGTGAGACCCCGTCTCTACTAGAAATACGAAAAGAAAAAATTAGCCGGGCTTGGGGCGGGTGCCTGTAGTCTCAGCTCCTCGGGAGGCTGAGGCCGGAGAATGGCGTGAACCCGGGAGGCAGAGCTTGCAGTGAGCCAAGATCGCGCCACTGCACTCCAGCCTCGGGGACAGAGCGAGAGTCCGAGAGAGAGAGAGACAGAGAGAGAGTTAATGGCATGGTGTTATGTGAAACTGTTATTGATGGTGCATGAGATCCAGTGATATGCCTGGGTAGATCCTCAGTAGCACCAGGTGTTTGTGATTTCTAGCTGTATTGAGAGACACAGCTGTTTCTCATGAATTCGCAGTGGACACACCCAGAGCTAATACTCAGCCCCAGATCACCCATGTGCAAGTGAGGTTCCTCTTAAAACCTCAGGCTCCAAAAGTGACTTTGTGTCTACATCAGTCCTCTCTAACTTTCATAAAGCTCTTATGACCAGAAACTCTGAGTTCCCTTAGTCACATGCAACTTTCATCAAACAGCTTCATACTTCTCAGCTGCTAAACACTCTGGCAACAAGGAAATCCTTATCGGGCACGTTCGCTTCCCTGCATGACCCCTTGGCTCCTACTTGTCACAAAGAGAATCCCAGTAAATCCAATGACTATGTGTGTACGCTCCAATTTCAAACATGGTGCCATATCAAAGGGGTGTATATGAGGTAGTGAGAAAAGGGCTTTTGCAGATAGAAGAAATTTGCTACGTCAAGCACAATCCACATATTTTTAAAGATCCTCTCCCTAAGCAACTGCTTTTTAAGAGATTTGAAAGGCCAAGTTTCTGAAGCTAATATTCCTTGTGAAGAATCTTTATTCTCTGTCCTTGTAAAGGTAGGCAGAATATTTTAGTTATTCTTCTTATTGTAAAGCCTTTTTGGCACAGCCTACCTATCTGCAAACGTTTTGGAAGATATATTGCCTGTGTTCCTCTACTCTTTCTTACAAGAGGTTTCTGTGGTTGTATAATGAGCAGTAGTTATATCAGTCCCATTATTCAAATAGAACTTGATAACAGAAAATTTGAGTTTGAATTAAAATTCTGCTACTTGCTTGGTGTAAGGCTATGAGCAACTGTAAATAATACCTTTGGGGTTTACTTTTCTACTATTTAACTTAGCGATGAAAAAATAATGCTGAATCCCCTAAGTTTTATGTGATAACTATAATACAGTAAAGGAATTAAAAAGCTTATTCATATTGTGAGATTTATCTAAAATGTATTCTTTTTATAATAATCAGCTTCTTACTCAGCTATCTAGAAAGGGCCCCAAACTACAAAACTAAAGTTTGTGATATAAACACTAGTATGTTTGAGTAGGAGGCAATTATATTTATAATTTATATTTAGCATTTAAATCTCAGTCCAATGGGTTGGTAAGAAACATAATCTGAAAAGTCCTTCAAATGACCAATTCTTAGGTGATGTAGGGTGTAGACAGAGGTATATTGTGTGGGCCAAACATTGCTAAAATCATGCAATGCTTTAGAATAATATTCTTAATGTTTATGTACTTTAAAACTACATTCTTAAAGTATACATAGAAAAACAACAAAATATATTGTCTCAAATTTTCACATTTTTCCCAATTATAAAGCAAAACTTCTGAAAACCCAGGGAAAAGGTTAAGTTACATTGTATCCAATGCCAACTTTACTTTAACTCCTACTTCCATTTTTATTGTCTAGATTCTGCTCTAATGCATTTTTAACTTAAAAATATATTGTTTTTATAATCTGGTATTAATTTATAACCTGGTATTTTATAATCTGTTATTAATTTTTATAATCTGGTATTAATTGAGATACAATTTCATATAGACTCATTCCACCAAAAAACATAAGAATGGAAAAAATCTGCTATCCCAAAGACTCAGACACAAATTTTATACTGTTTTATCCTTACTTCTACTGATCAGGAAGAATATTGCTTCCCCAGAGAGAGAAAAATGAAAAGAGCTTTTATTGTATTAGAAATTAAATATTTTATGGGTAAGTATAATGTTTTTATTCTCTGGGTTAAAGCTTGTAAGAAAGATGAACTTTTAAACATTCCTGAAATAGAAGTTGGGTTGTAAAATTATAAGACATGTTTGGTAATCTTTAATTAGGTGATTGCTCAAATTTTCTAAGGTTAAAAAGATTTCTGCTCTGTATAAACTCTGAAAAATGTCACAATTAAAAGTGCAGTAAAAATCCTAAGTAATATAACTGACATTTAACATCCTTGGTACTCATTGTCTAGAAAAAATAATATTAAATTCAATATTGAATTGAAGAAGTAGTACTTTAAAATAAGATGATTTTCACTCAAATACCTAAACAGTTTAATATAATAAAAGTTGTTATACCCAAATGTAAGCCTTTTTATTCATCTCAAATTCCCATCTTGCAAAAAACATATGGCTTTATTTGTTAAATGCATACTCTGTATTCACAGCTATTTACAGTGATACACAGCTTAGGGAATGAAATTTCTTTATATGAAATTAACTTTGTTATCCCATTTAAAGCTTATTAATTGAGTATAAAAAGGTGCTCGATTATGTGATAATTTCTACTATTTGCTCTTTTCCTGTATCATCTCCATATTAAAAGATGTCATTTACTTTAACCAGTGCCTTCTTATAGCAATAAATGAAGTTTGAACACTTATAAGACAACAATTTCACTGAGGATGGTAAAATAACAAGGTAGAAGAAACCTGTGTCCTGGAAGGAACAGCAGAGCAGGTCTATGTGGAGCAGACCCACCCCACAAACTCAGACATGTACTGCACATGAGAGAAATAGGGTATTATACACTTTAAACCACTATATTTTGATTGGTGGCTTATTATTTTAAAGGATTGTGATAATTGGTATACCATACAATTCATCCCTTTAAAGTGTATATTTCAATGATTTTAGAATATTCACAGATTCATGCAACCATCACCACAATAAATTTAAAACATTTTCATCATATCAGAAAGAAACCTCATACCTGCTAGCAGTCACCACACATTTCCCCCACTTCTAGTCATAGGAAAACACTATTCTACCCTTTGTCTCTACAGAGTAGCCTATTCTGTCTATATCATATAAATAGAATCTTAAAATTTGTGGCATTTTTTGATTAGACCCTTTCACTTTTTTTTTTTTTTTAAATGTTTAGGATCAGAGGTATATGTGCAGGTTTGCGGTACAGGTAAATTGTTTGACGCAGGTGTTTGATGTACAACTTATTTAATCATCAGGTAATGAGCATATTACCCAATAGGTAGTTTTTATTCATATAGAACCAAAATAGAGCTCAAATAGTCAAGACATTCTTAAGCAGAAAGAACAAAACTGGAGAAACATCACATTACCCGACTTCAAACGATACTGCAGGGCTACAGTAACAACAACAATAACAAAAAAGCATAGTAGTGGTACAAAAACAGACACATAGATCCAATGGAACAGAATAGAGAGCCCAGCAATAATGCTGCACCCCTACAACATCTGATCTTCAACAAAAGCCATAAAAACAAACAATGGGGAAAGGACCCCTCCCATTCACTTATGTTTTTAAGGTTCTTCCACATTGTAGCATTTGTCACTACTTCATTTCCTTTAATTTTCAAATAATATTCCATTGTAGGATAAGACATGTTTTATTTATCCATCTATAAGTTCACACACATTTGAGTTGTTTTCACTTTTTAAAATTATGAGTAACCCTACCATGAACATGTCTGTGCAAGTTTTTATGTGGATTTGTGTTTTCAACTATCTTCAGTATATAACTCAGAATGGAAGTTCTGGGTCATACAGTAACTCAATGCTTAACCTAATGAAGAAGTGCCAGCCTGTCTTTCAAAGTGACCAAAACCATTTTATATTCCCATCAGCTGCATATGAGGGTTCAGAGTTGTCCACATCCTTGAATACAAGCTCTTTCCTGCAACATAGTTCTCTCCACAAGAGGGCAGCTGGCTTCTATGAGGTCAACAGGAGAGTTTCTTCGGCTACAGCTTTCAGTCTTCTTTAAAGATACAAAATCAATGTGCAAAAATCACAAGCATTCTTATACACCATTAACAGACAAACAGAGAGACAAATCATGAGTGAACTCCCATTCACAATTGCTTCAAAGAGAATAAAATACCTAGGAATCCAACTTACAAGGGATGTGAAGGACCTCTTCAAGGAGAACTACAAACCACTGCTCAGTGAAATAAAAGAGGATACAAACGAATGGAAGAACATTCCATGCTCATGGGTAGGAAGAATCAATATCGTGAAAATGGCCATACTGCCCAAGGTAATTTATAGATTCAATGCCATCCCCATCAAGCTACCAATGACTTTCTTCACAGAATTGGAAAATCTACTTTAAAGTTCATATGGAACCAAAAAAGAGCCCGCATTGCCAAGTCAATCCTAAGCCAAAAGAACAAAGCTGAAGGCATCACGCTACCTGACTTCAAACTATACTACAAGGCTACAGTAACCAAAACAGCACAGTACTGGTACCAAAACAGAGCTATAGACCAATGGAACAGAACAGAGCCCTCAGAAATAATGCTGCATATCTACAACCATCTGATCTTTGACAAACCTGACAAAAAGAAGAAATGGGGAAAGGATTCCCTATTTAATAAATGGTGCTGGGAAAACTGGCTAGCCCTATGTAGAAAGCTGAAACTGGATCCCTTCCTTACACCTTATACAAAAATTAATTCAAGATAGATTAAAGACTTAAATGTTAGACCTGAAACCATAAACACCCTGGAAGAAAACCTAGGCAGTACCATTCAGGACATAGGCATGGGCAAGGACTTCATGTCTAAAACACCAAAAGCAATGGCAACAAAAGCCAAAATTGACAAATGGGATCTAATTAAACTAAAGAGCTCCTGCACAGCAAAAGAAACTACCATCAGAGTGAACAGGCAACCTACAGAGTGGGAGAAAATTTCTGCAATCTACTCATCTGACAAAGTGCTAATATCCAGAATCTACAAAGAACTCAAACAAATTTACAAGAAAAAAACAAACAATGCCATCAACAAGTGGGCGACGGATATGAACAGACACTTCTCAAAAGAAGACATTTATGCAGCCAACAGACACATGAAAAAATGCTCATCATCAATGGCCATCAGAGACATGGCAAATCAAAACCACAATGAGATACCATCTCACACCAGTTAGAATGGCGATCATTAAAAAGTCAGGAAATGACAGGTGCTGGAGAGGATGTGGAGAAATAGGAACACTTTTACACTATTGGTGGGACTGTAAACTAGTTCAACCATTGTGGAAGTCAGTGTGGCGATTCCTCAGGGATCTAGAACTAGAAATATCATTTGACTCAGCCATCCCATTACTGGTATATACCCAAAGGATTATAAATCATGCTGCTATAAAGACACATGCACACGTATGTTTATCGTGGCACTATTCACAATAGCAAAGACTTGGAACCAACCCAAATGTCCAACAATGATAGACTGGATTAAGAAAATGTGGCACATATACACCATGGAATACTATGCAGCCATAAAAAAGGATGAGTTCATGTCCTTTGTAGGGACATGGATGAATCTGGAAACCATCATTCTGAGCAAACTATTGCAAGGACAAAAAACCAAACACTGCATGTTCTCACTTATAGGTGGGAATTGAACAATGAGAACACATGGACACAGGAAGGGGAACATCACACCCCGGGGCCTGTTGTGGGGTGGGGGGAGGGGGGAGGGATAGCATTAGGAGATATACCTAATGTTAAATGACGAGTTAATGGGTACAGCACACCAACATGGCACATGTATACATATGTAACTAACCTGCACGTTGTGCACATGTACCCTAAAACTTAAAGTATAATAAAATAAAAAATAAAAAAAAAAGATTCATCTGGGTTTGGTCCAGCAATGTAGTCTGCTCTTTTTATTAACTAAAAGTCAGCAGATTAGAGTTTTATTTACATCTGCAATATCCCCATATCACTACCATATCATACCACATAACCTAATCAAGGATGTCATATCCTGTCATAAACACAGGTCCTGCCCTTTCTCTTGGGTAGTTGATTATCCAATGGCATGGTCCCTTTGGGAGCTGGAGTGTGGGGGTCACAGTCTTAGAATTTAATTATATCAGTAAAATAAACCCTAACTTCCACAGATGCTATACAAAACAACACACATTGCAATAATACTACACAATTTAATAGCTTAATAACTTAACACCATATGATTTAATACCCTAAAATTAAAAGATCAAAAGTCAAAAATCATTTGAATGCCCAATATACACCATGAATTGTCCTAGTAACTGAGATTTTAGCCCTTAACACTATATAAAAGATCTTATCTCTTGAATAGAGAGAATTTAAAACTAGCAAATACATTAATAAGATAAATTGCGATAACTGTTATGAAATCAATGAGCTAAGAAGAGTTATGAGATTGTTATTATAGTCAGGAATGTCAGAGGAAGGCTCTTTAGAGAAATTCAAGTTGGCAACAGAATGAGTATGATATAGGCATGTAAATATACAATGGGAGAAAATTCCAAATCAAAGTCGTCAAAATACAACTAATCTTAAAACATTCAAGGACAAAGTAGAAGCTACAAGGTCTAGAGTGTAGAGACAAAGAAGGAAAACAGCATAATGTAGTAGTAGTAGAGAAAAACTGCAAAAGCTAAATGGTCTTGAAGGCCATGAAATGCTTTCTTATTATCCTAATTACAGTAAAAAGTTATTGGGAAATGTTGTGCAGGAGAGGGTTAGTACAACATATTTTTTGAAAGATCACCTTGGCTGCTGCTTTGGAGAATGGTGTTTTTGAAGCTCGGACTTGGAAGCAAGAAGACCAAATGAAGGCTCTTATAGTTTAGGAGATTTGGACTAAGGTGGTGGCTGTTGATAGAGGATAGTGAAGATGGATTTGGAATATACTTTGGCAATAGACAAAATTGACTTTGGGATTAGATTGAATGTGGTAGGGGTTATGGAAACAACAAAGATTTGTTTTTACTCAAAAGAAAAATTAATTCTTTTCAAGAGATCAATTAATTTTGTGAAGTTCAGATTTATATTTGCAAAGCCATGTAACCAGAGGAAATACAATTTAAGAGCAATCGAAAAAATATTTTAAAATCCTTAGTAAAATGCTTTAGCCAAATAAAAATTTACTTTTCAAATTTTTAATAATTTTAAAATACAGAGAAATTTAAAAGATTAAACATAAAGCTTTTAAAAAAGGTATTTTTCTCCATAATATGATGTAAAATGGGCACAATTACATCAAGAACCATTGAAAAGAAATACCATGAAGTATAAGTCAATGCTCTCCCATTAAACATGAAAGAGTGTACTTGATTGCACCAGTTTGTATCTTTATTAGACGTATATTGAAAGGTCAGAAGATGTTACCAGACTCCCCGTAATTCACTGGATTGTACCTGCTGCCCTTTAGAGAGCAAATAATGGGATTAACGTGTTTCTAAAGTAGCCAGGTAAGCTTTCAACATGATGAGTGAATTTCTCATAAAACTTAAACTGATAAAGTAACCAGTTAAGCTGATAAAATATCTAATTCCTTTAAAGTTTTTAATCTATCTGCACTTGTTTTGTTTTTATTAAGTAATTGTGCCAGTAAATATCAGTTATTATTTGTTTAGTTTTTGCAAATTAGAAAGAAATTGTTCATTTTGACACTAGTAAATTAGAAAACCTTTTTTGTAAGTAGCTAATGGATCAAAAGAACGGTTATAAACTGAATTCTTCACTGTCATCCTTATAAACATTACAAGTAATTAATTTCCCCTTCATACTCTAAAGTTACCTTCAAGGATAATAGAATTAACAACCATGAACATATTTATAGACAGTCCTACATGATGAGAGAATAAATGGGACTAGCACAATGGGTGAGATAAAAATCTTAGTGGCCTTTCTTTCAATTTTCTATTCTATTGTTGTAGGTTGGATATATGTATCTGGTATAAAATGTATAGTTAATGTGAATAATTATTTGAAGCATAAAAATAAAATCAATATATGCGCATTTCCTAATACTAATGTTATTGAAATTATGATGAACCTGGGGAAGATGATAATAAAAATCTCCTAGAATATCACTACTTTTCTTAGTTGCTCAAAATGAAAGTAAATGTTTTATTTTGAATGATCTTTTGTTCATCTCTGTCCTTTACATTAGAAGGTAATGCATTCATTAGAAGCTTTCTCTTATTTATCTCCAAAACTACTTTCTCCTTCTCTTCACATAGGATAAGTCAATAAAGGGTGAGAATAAATCCTATTCAATGTTTTCTTCTAAGGTGCTAGTATAGTGCAGTTACATGATATGGGAAAGAATTTTGATACAATAGAAATTAGATGAAAGTGAGGAAGAACGGAAGAAACACATGGTAGGAGGGAAAAAGAAAGGAAATAAATATGAAGGTCTGTTTTCCTTTTGCCCGATGTGTCTCTTTCCACACCACTATCAATGTTTTATGCATCAGTGATGGATATAAGTCACATGGTCAAGACTTCTATCAATGGGACAAAGGGGACATACTCTGCCCGAGGAAATAGAATACAGTAGTTACCTTGTTGGGAAAGAGAACACAGCAAAGTTCCCTCGCATCTGCTGCTAGCAATATTGACAATCCCTCATGCAAGCTGAAATGATTTATTTTGGATTTACCATCTCTAAACATTTACCATACACACATACCCTTGCACCCACATACACACCCCTATACATATACACACACATGTAATATGCGTATGCATATATATATATAATTATTATGTTTTACTACTTATCCCAGAGATAGAATATGAAATAAATCAGCCAGATATTTTTTAGAAATTAGTAAGTAGATGTCATGATTTGGAAATAATTGAAATTATGTACATGTCTTCTTTCATTTTGTATTATAAAGCACATAAGACTCCAATCTGATTATTGGCAATTCTTTGTGTCATGTGTAAGGTATCTAACAACTCTGGGGTTCAACTTCCTCACCGGTGAAATGTGAATACCCTATGTATGGAGCTGTGTGCCTTAGGTCTATTCATACAAACCTCCATTTCTCAACTCCCACTATTCTTATCTTATTCCAATCTGACTTTTATGTTCATTAGTTCAACAAAACAGTAGTTACCAATGAATCCAATGATCTCCATGTTCAAAAATCCAGTGAAGAATTTTTATTTTCAGTCTTCATCTTGCCTAACATTCCACTAGACAGCTTTCTCTTTCTTAATAATATTCACCAAACTAAGCATCCCTGAGGTCTCAGTCATTGAGCTTTTATCTAATCTGAAATATCCCAGTTCCTTTCAGAGAAGTATCTTATTTATTTGACAATGAAATATTCAGGGACTTCATGATTACATCCTTGTCACATTTCTCGTCTTTTATAACTCTTTCTAGAAAATGTCATTTACAACCTCAGTTTTAATTGCCTTCTACATAACACTGACCAAAAATTGTGTTTCTCCTTGCAAATGTGCCTTCTATGCATTATAGCCTGAAGTATCAAACTTCCCATGTATTTGAATATTGTAAAGGCAACTCCAATTCTAATTCACCATTGATCCATGATTTTCCCTACTAAACTCAACTAAATATTTACATTTACCTAGATTTACCTAGAAGATCCATATTACTATTTGGGTGAATGGCATCTTTATGCTTATAGTTACAAAGGTCAGAAAAATTATCATTAAATAATGTAACTTGAAGGAGGAAATGGACTTTGTCTTATTCACTTATTCTCATTAGCAATAACTGAAGTAGCAAATAGTATAGATTTAGTATTTGCTAATTGAATACATTAATGATACAATCTTGCTTCTCACAACCCATATACAATTGATTACTATGTCATTAATTTACATCTTACATATTTTGATATATGACCACATATCTACATATTTATTGCCACTCTTGTCATCTAAAGTAACATTAACTATCAACCCAAAGCCAGCAAAAGCATCCTAACTTATTGTGTTCACTCTCATCTACTCCATCTACTCCAATATGTTTCCCAAACCACATCATGAATGGTCACTTTAAAATGCTAATGTAGCCTTGTCATTATAATTTATAGATTTAATGACTCTTCCTTTTTAATTAAGGAGAAGACTACATTCTTAAATATGACCCAGAAGTTCCTGTTTAGTTTTCTAACTCCTTCAGAGTCTTTGTATGCTCTCCCTTAACCTCTGATTTCCAGCCATACTGGCTGAATTTCAGTTCCCTGTAACAAACAATGCCTCACATTATATCTCAGGAAAGATTATTTATTCTATTGGCCTTTTCCTATCCAAATTCATGTATAAACCTATAAATCTGATTCCCGTTGTAATATAGTCATGAAAGTTTGTATTTCATCCTATAGGTAAGTTTCTCTGTTATACAGTATTCTCTCATAGCATCATATTTCTATCTTTTATAACATATATGTATTTTAGGTTATAAGGCTACATAGGCATGTATCACATTTGAGCAGTCTCTCTCCCTATTAGACTGTATCTTATGTTCGAGCAAATATTGTGCTCATTATTCTATTTCCAATGGTAGGTATGCAATCAATATTTGTTGAAAGAATAAAAATAATCATTGCGACATATCTTGTTAACTTAAATTATACTTATGAAAACATATAATTATCTCAAAACTTTAAAAAATTGTAATATATATTACTATTTTTGTTTTCCTCCATTTGTGGGGTGGGAGGGAGCACAGGCCTTGAATCAAAATTGTAAACTTTCAAATTACTGGTTAAAATATATCCTTTATAAAAAATAATAATATGGCAGCTACAAAATATATTCTTTTGGTGCAATGGAATGAATATATGCCAAATTTTTAATGTTATTAAAATACACTAGATTTAAAGAATAGAAATTCTTGGTAAGCTTACCGTAACATTCTGTATTTTACTTCTCATTCTGTTGGTCAAATTTTAAATTATTTTATCCTACTATATTTGATGTATTTCTCCCAATTGTAATTAATATTATACTAACAACAAATTTGAAGTCTCCAAATGTTCTTTTCACTGATTTCTGAAAGTTAGAAATTTTGTGGATTCAAATATTTTAAAAATATTTTCTAAATATTTCATATTGTTTTTTGCGACTCATGTTTGGGGATCATGACTGTTCACCTACCTCATTTTCTAAGATGCGTTGAATTACTCCTCAGAAGGATTCCAATTGAGCACAAAGATTTCAGAAAGTTTTTATTTCCTGCAGAGAGAGGACCCCTGTCTGCCATGCCAAGAGTCAAACGCACTTGGATATGCACAAGGAGACTCTTTAAAAATAAAGTCTCCAAATGCTGCTAGTCTTTGCTAACATGGTACTTTGGAAACGTGTAAATGGAGTCATCTGAACTTCTGTTTACAAAGATTTATCCATATAGACACTTTATTGAGTGCTCACTTCATAATATATAAGGCAACCGTTTTGCCCATAGATGAAAGAAAATGAGATTATGTATTTCTCTAGTACTACGCTCTTATATGTGATTAATACATTCATTAACTTCAAAATAGGTGATGTATGTAGATTGTACTCAGGCATTGAAGCAAATTTTCATGGTTTATAAAAATGCAATGAGACCTATTTTTCAATAGGATTCGATGTTTTAAGCTGCATTTTAGTATTAAAGTGTTTGGGGTAGTATACCAATTATTTATTTGAAAATTAAATTTTTTATATAGTAAAAGAAAAAGTTTTATAATATTTTACCAATTTATCTAGTTATATCAATTTAGCAATTTTTAAAACTAACTGTGAAGTGGAAGACATTTTATTGATAATTTCTAAATTTTGCTTTCAATTTAGGAATAGAAGAGCTGTAAATTTTGAAATTTTGTTCTATATTTTATCCTGTTACTTTTGACCAGGTTCCGAATTTTTTTTACAGAAGAGTAAAAATACTTCTAAAATGTCTGATTACTAATTTTTAACAAGAATTCATTGAGTATCTACTCTGTGTCAGGCTCTGGTCTGAGCTCCAAGCAGTTTTTAAAATATACATATGCACACAAATAAGTGAAAAATCAAAAATTCTTTCCCACAAAAGTTAATAGTGAGGGAAAACAAGAAATAAAGAAAATAATTAAATACTTTACATATTCACATGGAATATTTAGATGCTAAAAGATGAGAAAGAGAATTAGAATAATGAGTCCTGGAGTTGAGATAATAAAGTTTTCATTCAGGTAGCCTGAAAAGGCCAAATTTGAGAAAGTGGATTAAACCATGAAAGAGAAAGCAAGATGGATATCTGGAGGTAAGGCTTTCTCATGCTAGTGTATCAATGGGTGCAAAGGCCCTGAGGCAGAAGGATATCTGTGTGTTATAGAAAAAGAAAAGAATCTATTGCAGAGGAAGTGAGTTGAATGAGAGGAGGACAATTGAGGATGCAGAGAGAATAACAAACAGCCAAGTCAGGTAAGGCCTTGGCCATTTTAAAGACTTTTCCTGGCAATTGTAAATAATTTTAGAGAACCCATGGGGATCCTTGGCATTTACAGCAACGTGCTGCATACAATGTTTTGGTAAAGGACAGACTGCACATATGATGGTGGTCCCTTAAGATTAACATGAAGCTGAAAAATTCCTAGGGCCTATTGATGTCGTAGCTGTCTTAACATTGTAGCCCAATGCATTACTCACATGTCTGTGGTGATACTGGTATAAACAAACATACCACACTGCCAATCATAGAAAAGTATAGTACATACAATTCTGTATAGTACATAATGCTTGGTAATGATAATAAATGACTGTCACTAGTTTATGCACTTACTATATTATACCATTTATCATTATTTTAGATTGTATTCCTTCTACTTATTAAAAAAATGTTAACTGTAAAACGGCCACAGGCAGGTCCTTCAGGATATATTCCAGGAGAAGGCACTGTTATCATGGAGATGACAGCACCATGTATGTTATTGCCCCTGAAGACCTTTAAGTGAGACAAGATGTGGAAGCGTAGACAAATGTATTAATGATCTTGTAGGCCTAGGCTAATGTCTGTGTTCATGTCTTTGTTTTTAATTAAAATAATTTGTGCTAAAGAGGAAAATGTTTATAGAATACAGGCATGCAGAAAGAAATATTTTGTACAGCTGTACAATGTGTTTGTGTTTTGCATTATTACCAAAGAATCAAATTTTTTTTTATTTCAAATTTATAAAGTAAAAAAGTTATAATAAGCTAAGGCTAATTGATTATTGAAGAAGAAAAAATGTCTTTTTAAATAAATTCAGGGTAGCGAATGGTATAGGGTTTATAAACTCTACAGTAGTGTACAGTAATATCCTAAGCCTTCACATTCGTAGACACTCACTCACCAACTCATACAGAGCAACTTCCATTTTCTGCAATCTTTATTCATGGTAAGTGTACCATTTTTAAATCTTTTTAAACAGATTTTTACTATACCTATTCTATGCTAATGTGTGCTTAAATACACAAATACTTATCATTGTGTTATAATTCCCTGCTGTATTCTGTACAGTAAGATTCTGTACAGTTTTGCAGCCTAGAAGCAATAGGCTATACCATGTAGCCTAGGCATGGAGTAGGCTAGCCCATCTAGGTTTCTGTCAGTACACTCTATGATATTCACACAAACAATGATTATAGAATTCAGGTGATTACTTAAATATGCATTTCTTAGGAAGTGTCCCTTTGTTAATTGACATATGACTGTATTTTAAACAGAGGAGTAAGATTTTGACTACCCTGTTGAGGAGACAGTGCAGGGAGATTGGATAGAAGCATGAAGGTCATTTGTCTGGTGACAAATGATATGAGCTAATTCTGGGGTGTTAGAGTTGGAAGCAGTAAAATGTGGTGAGATCTTGGATATATTTTAAAAGTAAAATCTATATACTGACATATTGGATTTGCTGACTTATTGGATGAGGTATTTGAGTGGAAGGGAGAAGTTAAAAATGACTACAAATTCTTCACTTCAACAATGAGAAGACGGTATTCCAATTAACTAAAAAGTCATGATCAACTTTTGGAAAGCGTTGAAAAACAGTACCTCTGTGTATTCTATATTCTCTTTTCTTAAAAATCCCTTTCAGACAAATTTAAAATTTTCCAGCTCTAGGACATACATAAGGAGAGAGCTGCATCTCCTGACATTGCACAGGTGTTAAAATCTCATCTATACAGTCCCTAGAGAAGCAAATCTCCTTCTTCACCCACTGCTGCAGCAGCATGAGTTACGTGTGTGTTTACTAATATGTTTTTGAGTTTCCTCTTGAATTTGGGGCCCTGTTTTTATTGTGGTGGTTTGTTTTATGAGAAAAAAACACACAAAATTACTATATTTTAAGAACTTTTCTCTCACAATGATGTCACAGGATCCTTAGGGTGTCACTTTTCTGGCTGGAAAACTCTGTGGCCAAGGGTGCTTTTGTTGGGGCTTGCTAGGCTCATTCCACCCACTCAGCCCCACAGGCTGCACTCAGCTCGCACTACCTGCAGAGATCCTATGTCTACCAAGGGCAAGCCGGCACAGAGCAGTAAGGCGAGTGTGAATGAGCACAGGGTCTGGCCACTGTGCACAGCCAGGAGTGCCGTCTGCCACAGGGCAGGGAGCTCCAAGCACCAATACAGATGCTGGCCCTGTGCGAGGCTGCGGCTGGACCAGGTGTAACGCAAGTGTCTTCCACTGTGGGTATGAGGAAACCTGGTGGTGCCCAGAAGCTTGGAGAGGCCAGGAACTGCAGAGCCGTAAAGAGGGTGTCACAGCCCTGGCTTGGAGGTTCCCTAGGTCTGGGCTTCTCTAAGGGCCACAGCCCTTCTCTCCTTATCACCCACAACACGACAAGTGGGGGAAGTGTTTCAGCTCTGTTTGTGTTACGCCTCTTTCAGTCCTGCCATTCAGTGGTCTCCCAGTTCTTGTCCCATGTCCAGGAAGAATGAGGTATGCAGATGACTGGAAGGTGAGTAAGGTGGAGAGGAGCTTTCATTGAGCGACAGAACAGCTCTCAGGAGACCCAAAGTGGGTAGCTCCTTTTTAGGTAGCTCCTTTCTGCAGGCAGGTCATCCCAATGAGTGTACAGCTCTCAGTGGAGAGGAGACCAGTGGTCTCCCACTGTCAGGGAGACTAGAAGTGGGTAGTTCCACCCTCAGCTGGTAGTCCTGACATCTTTCTGAGTCTGGCTGAATCAATTCTATGGGCTCAGAGGGAGGAAGTGCATGCTGATTGGCCCATGGGTGGGCCCCTAAAAAGCACCATAAGTTCTCACTCCCAGCTGCAGTCTCCACCCAGAGCTGGCAGCCTGGCCCCCGGGCTTCAGGCCATCCCTGTCTTGAAGGTTGGATTTCACGAGGGACCCACCCCTTTCCACCCAGGAACCTGTCTGCCTCCTGCCATCAACATGTTGTCCAGGTGCCCAGGCAGTTCAGGCCGAGGGGTGCCTGCTGGCCCACACCAAGCTGCCCTCAGCCCTTACCCAGCATCCCTCCCATGTTCGTTAGTGTCCAAAGTCTGAAGGTGGCTGAGGCAGTAGGGGGCTGGGGTGTCAGCACTGACCCAAGTACACACACACCCAACCAGGTCAAGACAGTGCCCGGGCTAGGCCAAAACTTTGCTCAGCACAGGAGTGGGCACTTGGGGTTGGGGAGAGGCCAGAGAGTGGGAGTAGGCACTTCAGAACCTTCAGGACCAGGGACTTCCCAAACCTCTTAGAGCACAGGGGCGCCCGGGTCTGGATCTATGCCTGGGCTGCTGCAGCTGCACCTGGGAGACAGGGGAGTCCTGCCAACTCATAGGGGGTGGGGCTGTCACCTGTATCCTGCTCCTGCCAGACCCATGTAGCACATGGCTTCAGCCTCACCCCCACCCCCTTGCTGCAGCAGACGACTCCCCAGCAGCTGCTTCAGAAGGGCTTACATTGCCAACAATGATTTGTAGCAAGAGTACAAACAATCACCAAGTTTATCAAACCTTCCACAAAATACAGTCCCTTCCAGTAAGGTAATCAGTCCAATACAAATAAAATATCCCATTGTATGAGTATATGTGCTTGTATATTTCAGTACTATTTTCTATTTTTACTTTATTTTCTACTAACTGTGATTTTACTTTAACCCACTTTTTTCACTCAGTTGATATTGTGGAAAAAGAGAGAAGAAAAATGCATAATATTACAGTATGGAGGAGAGAAGAAAAACCAGAAACAAAAAGCACATGATAGTAAAGTTCTAAAAGTGCTATCTAAACTTAGAAAATAATGATGGAGTCCCAAAAATTTAATGAAAGATATATACATACTATATTTTGCACAAGCATACAGACACAATGATTTATCATCAACAATAGATGCTGTTCCTTTTTGCAGTCAACAAAGATCCTTTACCTCATTTTCAACTACTGGTGAATCTAGATATCAGCAGCTTATTATAGGTGATTGTCTTTGAATTACAGGAGTCCTTTGTCGGTAATGTAACACCTTGTCAAGTAATATTTTTATATGCTGCACTTGTAAATACGCATAAAATATTCACAAGAGCCACATGCATAGTTTTTCAGCAATCCTTAAAAAATAATCTTTGAGCAGTCCCCAGCTAATTTTACATTCCTGCGAAACAGAATAATAACCAGAATATATAAAGAGCTCAAACAACTGTATAGGAAAAAATCTAATCACATGACTTTTTAAAAAGGGCAAACAATTTGAAAAGATTTTTCTCAAAAGAAGACATACAAATGGCAAACAGGCATATGAAAGGTGCTCAACATCACTGATTATCAGATGATATTGTTTGGCTCTGTGTCCCCACCCAAATCTCATCTTGAATTATAGTTTCCATAATTCCCATGTGTTGTGAGAGTTACCCAGTGGGAGATAATTGAATCATGACGTTTTTTCCCCCATACTGTTCTTGGGGTAGTGAATAAGTCTCATGAGATTTGATGGTTTGAAAAGGGGTTTCCCTTTCACTTGACTCTCATTCTCTCTTTGCCTGATGCCATGTAAGATGTAACTTTGCTCCTTCTTGCCTTCCACCATGATTGTGAGGCCTCCCCAGCCATGTGGAACTGTTAGCCAATTAAATCTCTTTCCTTTATAAATTACCTAGTCTAGGATATGTCTTTATCAGCAGTGTGAAAATGGACTAATACATCAGATAAATGCAAATCAAAACTTTAATAATATATCATCTCATCCCAGTTAAAATGGCTTGTAACAAACGACAGGCAATAACAAACACTGTTCAAGAGAAAAGCCAAAAATTTGCTGGGGATATAAAAACGTCAAAGTCACTGAAGTATCTAAAAAGATAGCAGTGATGTACTACATCATTAGATACATTGATGTAGCTAAATAGATGATAAATAAATGCATATATAGTAGTTACATAAATATTTACTACTTATATAATGCAAACATCCTTTATACTCAGTGATTGCCTTTTAACTTGTGAGGTAATAACATTTATTGATAAAATTTGTGAAGCTAATTGGTGAAATTTTTTAAAAGATATTTTAAATTATCAGCTCAAAGTATTCACTAAAGATATCAAAAGAAAAAATTAAGAACAGTTTAATACATGAATAAATAATGGATTAAATCAATATTAAGGAATTATGTTGATGTGGTTTGCCTGTGTCCCCATCCAAATATCCTCTTGATTTTAGCTCCCATAATTCCCACATGTCATGTGGGAGGTAACTGAATCATGGGGGTAGGTCTTTCCTGTGCTGTTTTTATGATAATGAATAAGTCTCATGAGATCTGATGGTTTTATAAAGGGGAGTTCACCTACACACTCTCTTGCTTCCTGCCAGATAAGACGTGACTTTGCTCCTCATTTGCCTTCCACCATGATTGTGAGGTCTCCCCTGCCATATGGAACTGTGAGTCAATTAAACCTCTTTCCTGTATAGATTATGTAGCCTCAGGTAAATCTTTATTAGCAGTGTGAGTACAGACTAACACAGTCAATTGGTGCCAGGAGTGGGGCGCTGCTGTAAAGATACCTGTAAATGTGGAAGCAACTTTGGAACTATGTAACAGACAGAGATTGGAAGAGTTTGGATGGCTCAGAAGAAAACAGAAAAGTGGGATAAAGTTTGGAACTTCCTAGATACTTATTGGATGACTTTGACCAAATGCTACTCATCTCAGGTGGAGATGAGGAACTTCTTGGGAACTTGAATAATGGTGATTCTTGCAATGTTTTAGCAAAGAGACTGGTGGCACTTTACCTCTGTCTAGAGATCTTTGGAACTTTGAACTTGAGAAAGAATATGCAGGGTTTCTGCTGGAAGAAATTTCTAAGCAGCAAAGCATTTAAGAGTTGATTTGGGTGCTGTTGAAAGCATTCAGTTTTACATAATCACAAAGATATGGTTTGAAGGAGACACTTATGTTTAAAAAGGGAGTGGAACATAAAAGTTCAGATAATTTGCAGTCTGGTGATGCAATAGAAAAGAAAAACTCATTTTCTGAAGAGGAATTCAAGCCTGCTGCAGAAATCTGCATAAGTAACAAGGAGCCAAATGTTAATTGCCAAGCCAATGGGGAAAATGTCTCCAGGGCATGTCAGAGATCTTCACAGCAGCCCCACCATCATAGGCCCCGAGGCCTAGCGGGAGAAAAATGGTTTTGTGGGCCAGACCCAGGGCCTTGCTGCTTTGTGCAGTCTCAAGACTTGGTGCCCTGCATCCCAGCCATAGCTAAAAGGAGACAATGTACAGCTCAGGCCATGGCTTCAGAGGGTGCAAGCCCCAAGCCTTGAAAGCTTCCACGTGGTGTTGAGCCTGTGAGTACACAGAAGTCAAGAATTGAGGTTTGGGAACCTCTGCTTAGATTTCACAGGATGCATAGAAATGTCTGGATATCCAGGTAGAGGTGTGCTGAAGGGATGGAGCCCTCATGGAGAACCTCTGCTAGGGCAGTGTGGAAGGGAAATGTGGGTGGGACCCCCTCACAAGGTTCTCACTGGGGTACTGCCTAGTGGAGCTGTGAGAAGAGGGCCACCATCCTCCAGAACCCAGAATGGCAGATCCACTGACAGATTGAACTGTGCACCTGGAAAAGCCACAGACACTCAACACCAGCCTGTGAAAGTAGACAGGAGTGGGGCTGTACCCTGCGAAGCCACAGGGGAGGAGCAGTCCAAGACCATGGGAATCTATCTTTCGCATCAGCATGACCTGGATGAGAGACATGGAGTCAAAGGAGATCATTTTGGAGCTTTAAGATTTGACTGCCCCACTGGATTTTGGATTTGCATGGGTCCTGTAGTCCCTTCATTTTGGCCAATTTCTCCCACTTGGAACAGGTTTATTTACCCAATGCCTGTACCTCCATTGTATCTAGGAAGTAACAAACTTGCTTCTGATTTTATAGGCTCATAGGTTGAAGGGATTTGCCTTTTCTCAGGTGAGACTTTGGACTGTGGACTTTTGAATTAATGCTGAAATTAATTAAGACTTTGGGGGACTGTTGGGAAGACATGATTTGTTTTGAAGTGTTAGGACATGAGACTTGGGAGGGGCCATGGAAAGAATGATGTGGTTTGGCTGTGTCCCCACACAAATCTCGTTTTGATTTGTAGCTCCCATAATTCCCATATGTCATGGGAAGGACTGTGTAGGAGGTAATGATCCACAGGGGCTGTTCTTGTGAAAATGAATAAGTCTCCTGGGATCTGATGGTTTTATAAGGGGAGTTCCCCTGCACACTCTCTCTTGCCTGCCTTCATGTAAGATGTGACTTTGCTCTTCATTTGCCTTCTGCCATGATTGCATGGTCTCCCCAGCCATGTGGAACTGTGAGTCAATTAAACCGCTTTCTTTTATAAATTATACAGTCTCAGGAATGCTTTTTTTATTAGCAGCATGAGAACAGACTAATACACATATTTATAAGATTCAGTGACTGACCATGAGGTAAAAGAAAAATTATACCTACTTAAAATATGCTCAGTGAGTAATCGTGTTTGTATTTGTGGTGGGGGTGAATGTGTTGTATTTAATTAAAAATATAACTACACTCAAAGTAGCAAAAATACTGAAAGTTTTTGACAATTATGTTACAAAAGGTGAATTAAAGCAGAATTTCCTAGAACAATTTTAAACATCACCCTTCTGTAAGTATAGTGTTGGAAAAGTTTCCAAGACACTGCTATTTGAGGTTTTCTATGACTAGATGAAATTTAGATATAGTAGCTTATGGTTAATATTATCTAAACCCTTATAGTTATAGAGAACTAGTGTATTTATATCCTCACCACTTAAACGATTTCTGTATGTTTTTGGCTGTAAATTTTTAACATATTGATACAAAATACATTTAATTACCAAACATCTAAGAAGTTTTATCAACATGTATACTAATTGAAGAAAGAAAAATGTAATCCAAATCCCATTAATTTTCATGTTAATTTATTTTGTTTTTCAGAGTCATATGGACATGGTGCTTGAATACAGTATAATAACTTACATTTCAATAACCTTATAAGTAGAAATAATTTTCCAAACATTGTTCCCCAATATATATATTATTACATGGCTACAACTATTAAAATCATAACCTTTTATTTTTCTATGTGTTCTATAAGTCTAAGACATTTACCAAGTTTGTTAGTTCCAGTAGGGTATTTTTTGGCAAACTCATCAGAATGTTCCTAAACACTCCATTTATAAAGTTTATTTTGACAGACCTGATACTGCTGATACTTCTATAGCTACTTTTAGGTTTGTTCTTACAAAACTGAGAAGGCACTGAGGAATAAGTGCAATGCATCAAAACATGAATATTTTAGTACTTTAGCAATTCCTCCTGAGTATATTGCAGAGTACACCAAGCTAAGTGCTATTTAAACCATGTCAAGGAAAAAAGTAGCAAGTATAAGATTTCCTAAACTGATGCGAATCAGCAAGTGCTTTCCTTAATGAAGTTATTATAATATAATTTTGTGAATGATGATGGATAAAATGATTATAATATTTTTCATAAATCGGTAAAATAATTTTTGGTTATTTTGGCAGTTTTAGAGGAGATGGTTGTAAATTATATAACATTTTTAAAATTATTCTCATAAGTGCACATGTTCAAACCTGTTCTGTTTGTTAATGGATTCTAGATTTTACACCTGACAGGCATTTAAAGCACAATGATTATTGTTTCTATAATTTAAAAACAGAAACTCTCAAAAGAAAAATAACAGATAACCAGGCTTAACATCAGATTTTTCTGAACCTTGATAGCTTACTTTTTCTTCCTGTTTTCCTTTCTTGTTGGATGGCAAACAGAAAATGGGTTTCATTGCAACCCTGAAAAATTCTATCAAGTTTAAAATGTGATGGATAAAAATTAGAAATATTTTATATAAAGTACCTAAAAAGAATAGTAAATCACATGAAATGTAAATACCATTATAAATTTTCTCTTGAGCATATTTTAAATAGGATACGATTAAGAGAATTCTATAAAGGTATTTGAGGATATGGAAAAAAGTTAAGTACAAATAAAGACACTTTAACTGAACAAAGGTCACATAAGGAGAAATGCCCAGATTTCAATAATAATTCAATATTGAATAGCTGTATCATAACATGGATTTTTTCTGAAAATATTAAAACTAGGTTATTTCAAAACAATCAGGCCTAAAAAGAAGCAGTAAGAGCTATATATACACAGTCAGCCAGCCATCACGCTTCAAAGCATCTCGGTTAACTGGATGGAAGGTCTTGCTATTAAATTAACTTCTTAAGTTAACAACAACAACAAAAAGCCAGCAAAAATATATTGCTCATGAGACAGAGAGAGAGACTTCTGTTCCTGTTGCGTTGGAGATCGTTGCAATATGTTACTTTCATACTAACCACATAACAAGACAGACCCACTAAAATATCATAGTTTCTCTGAAACTATCAGAGAACCAATACGCAAAGACACAGAAGTGGACTCATTTACAGAAAGTGATCAGCTTTTCAGACGAGAGTAGATAATTTTGTTCTCATTATTGGCATTGTTGAGAGGAGGCAAACCCACCACAGAAGGAGATAAAGAGAGATGACAGAAGTGCTGAGAGAAATTCTTCTTACATATTCCATCAAAGAACTCTCTATAGGCATAGAAAGCATAGGTCAAGACTAAAGAGAAATAAAATATTTCCCCACTGAAGACAAAGCTAATGGTGGGATATAGAGCACAGAGAGATCTACAGTCTGGAAAGGGGAGGCTCAGCTGTAAAGAACAGAAAGATCTTTGGAGTCTCAGCTTTCTTCAGAATCAAAGTCCCACAGAAGAGAATTTTTTTATCTTATTTGTAAAAACATTTGAACCCAATGGTAAACCCAATCAAATTAAACTTTCGAAAATTACCAGATTCTACTCAAATACAGGTAAGATTGATTCAGCTTCCCACTCAAGTAACCTGGCACAAGACAGAGCATGTTCTTTAAAAAGTTTAACAATATTACTTCCATTTTAAAAGACACATAAATAAGCAAGAAAATATAACACATGATCATAAGAAGAACCATCAGTAGAAGCAAAGATGTCTCTGATACTAAAATTATCAGAAAGTGAATTTCAAGTACAATAAAAATGCTATGTAAATATCTACTGAAAATTGTGAACAATATGTATGAAAATATGAGGAGTTCCACTAGAGACATAGAAACCAATTTTTAAAAAATAAAATAGAACAAAACGTTAAAAACATAAGATCATATATAAAGAATTCATTGATAAAAAAATTAGATTGGACTCAACAATGAAAAAAAAAGACAATGAACTTTATGTCAATAGAAAATATTTATACTGGAAAACAGTGAAATAAGACCAAAAAACAAAACATTTTTAAAAAATGAAATGGCCTAAGCCGGGCACCTGCAGTCTCAGCTACTCTGGGTGCACTTGCATTCTCAGCTACTCTGGTGGCTGAGGCAGGAGAATCACTTGAGCACAAATGTTTGAGGCTTTGGCACACTACAATTGTGCCTGAAGAGGCATAATTAGCCACTGCACTCCAACCTGGACAACAGAGTGAGACCTCATCTCAAAAAAAAAAAAGAAAGAAAAGAAAAAAGAAAGAAACAAATTGAATGACTTAGCTCCTATGTTATTGTGTGGCAATAAAAGAGAAGAGAGAGAAAATTAGACAGGAGAAATAAAGAGATAATTGCTGAATGCCTTCAAAAATTGATGAAGGACTTCCACTCAAAATTGAGAGCTCGGGAAACCCCAAGCAGGATAGATGCAAACACATTCTCTGCAAATATAGGTAGATACCCAGATGCAGACATTTGCCAAAACTCATCATCTGAACAATTTAGATTAGTACAGTTTATTTTAAATAAAGTATTTAAATGAAGTCACTTAATTTCTAATATAAGAGTGAGAAAGAGTAAAGGTAGGATAATATATAAACCCATTAATATTCTTATTCCACTTAGTATGGTAAAATTTCTTAATTCCTATAATATAGTTAAGTTCAAAGGAAATTAGATTCACATAATTTAATTTTTACTGAAGGAAATAACATTTAGAAAAAAATTTGGGTAACAGTGAAAAGTATAGAGGCTGAACTATGTGATAAAATCACTTGGTGGTAATGAGTCAATGCCAAGTAAAGAAACATCTATAAAGAAACTCTATAAAGGAGAGGAAGTTAAAGAGAAACGTGGATAAGAGCCGGGCACAGTGGCTCATGCCTGTAATCCTAGCACTTTGGGAGGCCGAGGCAGGCGGATCACGAGGTCAGGAAATCGAGACCACCCTGGCTAACACGTTGAAACCCCGTCTCTACTAAACACAAAAAATTAGCTGGGCGTGGTGGCGGGCTCCTGTAGTCCCAGCTACTCGGGAGGCTGAGGCAGGAGAATGGCGTGAACCAGGGAAGCGGAGCTTGCAGTGAGCCAAGATCGTGCCACTGCACTCCAGCCTGGGTGAGAGATCGAGACTCCGTCTCAAAAAAAAAAAAGAAATGTGGATAAGAGAGACACAGTTTATCTATTAATATTTCTATTGTTTCCCAGACATGCCATGGTAATATATTTAGGTATCTGCCTTGCTGACACTTTGATGAATTAATAAATGCTTTATTTTCTGAATACTGGTATAATTCATTCTTTTTATTCTTTTGAAATTATATTTATTCAAAGCAAATGCTGTCTTTTGATAAGCAAAAGAGTACTAAAAACAGGTGACTTTGAAATAATCCCTTCCATCTAAATTTTATGTGTCTATGACTGCCTTTCTGAAACTTTCAAAAACCTATTCCAGGAAATGCTGCCTGATCAGATGATTAGAACAAATTGAAAGTCAAATTAGAGTAGGGAATAAAAAAGTTGACGATTGTCTTATACAAAACATAGTTGTCCACTGCCTGTGTCTGAGCCTGTAATTAGCATTAACCTTTCTTGTGGAAAATCTATTGAGCATTGTTGATACAATATCTGGTATTTATAAGGAACTTCATAAATATTGGTTGAGTTTGATTTTTTATGCATATTTTAAGTGACTCTGCTCTATTTACAGCAATAACCAGAACAAAGGGAAGAGCATCAGTCAGCAATGAACAAGTAAGAACACTTCTGGGGTCCTCCAGAAGGGACATAATGACCTCAGGTTCCACTTTTTATTATTATTATTTTTTATTATTATACTTTAAATTCTAGGGTACATGTGCACAACGTGCAGGTTACATATGTGTACATGTGCCATGTTGGTGTGCTGCACCCATTAACTCGTCATTTACATTAGGTATATCTCTTAATGCTATCCCTCCCCGCTCCCCCCACCCCACAGCAGGCCCCGGTATATGATGTTCCCCTTCCTGTGTCCAAGTGTTCTCATTGTTCAGTTCCCATCTATGAGTGAGAACATGTGCTGTTTGGTTTTTTGTCCTTGTGATAGTTTGCTGGCAATGATGGTTTCCAGCTTCATTCATGTGCCTACAAAGACATGAATTCATCATTTTTTCTGACTGCATAATATTCCATGGTGTATCTGTGCCACATTTTCTTAATCCAGTCTATTATTGATGGACATTTGGGTTGGTTCCAAGTCTTTGCTATTGTGAATAGTGCCGCAATAAACATATGTATGCATGCGTCTTTATAGCAGCATGATTTATAATCCTTTGGGTATATACCCAGTAATGGGATGGCTGGGTCAAATGATATTTCTAGTTCTAGATCCCTGAGGAATCGCCACACTGACTTCCACAATGGTTGAACTAGTTTACAGTCCCACCAACAGTGTAATAGTGTTCCTGTTTCTCCACATCCTCTCCAGCACCTGTTGTTTCCTGACTTTTTAATGATCGCCATTCTAACTGGTGTGAGATGGTGTCTCATTGTGGTTTTGATTTGCCATGTCTCTGATGGCCAGTGATGATGAGCATTTTTTCATGTGTCTGTTGGCTGCATAAATATCTTCTTTTGAGAAGTGTCTGTTCATATCCTTCGCCCACTTTTTGATGGCATTGTTTGTTTTTTTCTTGTAAATTTGTTTGAGTTCTTTGTAGATTCTGGATATTAGCCCTTTGTCAGATGAGTAGATTGCAGAAATTTTCTCCCACTCTGTAGGTTGCCTGTTCACTCTGATGGTAGTTTCCTTTGCTGTGCAAAGCTCTTTAATTAGATCCCATTTGTCAATTTTGGCTTTTGTTGCCATTGCTTTTGGTGTTTTAGACATGAAGTCCTTGCCCATGCCTATGTCCTGAATGGTATTGCCTAGGTTTTCTTCCAGGGTTTTTATGGTTTCAGGTCTAACATTTAAGTCTTTAATCTATCTTGAATTAATTTTTGTATAAGGTGTAAGGAAGGGATCCAGTTTCAGCTTTCTACATATGGCTAGCCAGTTTTCCCAGCACCATTTATTAAATAGGGAATCCTTTCCCCATTTCTTCTTTTTGTCAGGTTTGTCAAAGATCAGATGGTTGTAGATATGCAGCATTATTTCTGAGGGCTCTGTTCTGTTCCATTGGTCTATAGCTCTGTTTTGGTACCAGTACCATGCTGTTTTGGTTACTGTAGCCTTGTAGTATAGTTTGAAGTCAGGTAGCGTGATGCCTCCAGCTTTGTTCTTTCGGCTTAGGATTGACTTGGCAATGCGGGCTCTTTTTTGGTTCCATATGAACTTTAAAGTAGTTTTTTCCAATTCTGTGAAGAAAGTCATTGGTAGCTTGATGGGGATGGCATTGAATCTATAAATTACCTTGGGCAGTATGGCCATTTTCACGCTATTGATTCTTCCTACCCATGAGCATGGAATGTTCTTCCATTTGTTTGTGTCCTCTTTTATTTCGTTGAGCAATGGTTCGTAGTTCTCCTTGAAGAGGTCCTTCACATCCCTTGTAAGTTGGATTTAAAATTTAGCAAACCTGCATCAGTTTATTGTAACTGAAATCTTGGACCTTGGGATCCGATGGGCCTATGTGTAAAGTAAGTGCACTATACTATAAGCTTCACATTATTTGCCAACAATAATACTGTAAAAGGCATTTATGAACAACGTAATTTATATTCATTTAAAATAAATAAGAAGCTGAAATTGTTTGCTATTGGAATAGGTTATTTCACAATATCAGTGCACTGTTTATTTCTACATATGGAGCTTATTCTCTTTTTGCTAATCTGAAAAAATGGATGTTTTTCTTGTACCTTATGGATTTTTTAAAAAATGTTATCTCCATTGTACTATGAGCTTTGAGAAGAGAACTTTATTTATTTTGAGGCACATTTTATCTGTAGCCTATGGACAAATGACAAATATTCACCAAATAAATGAAGTAATGACTTTGGCAAAAAGTAGTTGAAAGTGTCTTTTTATACTGTCCTTCACCAGAGCAAGAATAATTAGATTATTTGAATTCTGAAGAAATAGAGCTTAACTGAATCCTAATAACTCTTTCAAGTATGTTTCAAATCATATCACAGTTTTCTAGATTTACAGACATTCCATGTAGCCAGTCTCAACTCTAGAAATATGTCATATATCAGATCTGTGTGTTTTCCAAATTTGTTGTATTTTTTCTCTTCTTGGATAAATTTCCCTATGAGAAAATATCAGAATGTTACAAAATTGCTGAAGATAAGATTTGATGCATACTTATTGTAATTATTTTAAATATATGTGTACTAAGATTCACATATTACTGGATGGTATATATTTAATCTAATAGAGTTTTCTCTGTACTTAGTGTTAAAAAAAATTAAAGTCACTTTTAGTAACATCTTAAAAAAAAACCCAAAAACTTCCAACAACTTTTCTTATATTACTCTTGATGTCCTAGATCCTGAAAATACTGCTGAATTATTCCAATGAAGATTTCAACGGAATTATTTTTGAATTACTAACTCTTAAACTGAAGACAGTCTGTAAAGGATATAAAGTAAGAAAAGGGTAAGCACCTGCTTTGAAGTGTAGTTTCAGACAGCCCTGGAGTGGTATTAGTCAGTAATTCTAGTGTCATTGTGAAAGAAAATGTCAATGTCTTCTGCACAATAAAAGTGTAGTGATATTATGGGTTTTTGAAAGAGAGTAATGACTGCAGTATTTCATCTAAAGCATGTCTCTAAGAAACTGAAGCTTAACCGAGATGGTCAGAGATACTGTGAGGATACTAAGGTGCTAAAGACATATTTGTGTATTTTATTTCTGAGAACACCTTAGATAACTATTTGCTTTTAGTTTTAGATTTATGAAAGAGGAGTAATCTATTTCACTAGTCTGCAGATAAATTGCAGAAAAAAGCATCCAAGCTAATACTTCTAATTTTATATCTTATACAGACTGTCTTCATTTTAACTTAGTAATTTAAAAATATTTCCATTGAAATATTCATTGAAATAATTTAGCAAATTTTTTAGTCAATATGTTTATGTCATTGTTTATAATGATACTTGCTTATAGCCTCATTGTTGCTTTTACTGAAATTTCAAGAACCAACAGCAAGAAAGTTAGACTGAAAAGAGAAAGAAAGCTTCTTAAAGTCAATGGTAATATTTAATTATTTTTGTTTTTCTGCCAAAAACAAACAGTTTTAGCAATCCTTTGAGGTAGCAGTCTTAATGGGGAATATATCTACCCCTTTTCTTTATGGATTTCTATATTACACATTACGGATATCCAAAATTTCTAGTGGTTATAAAAAGAAATATGCCAGATAAAGTAAAACTGAATTCTATTCACACTTTAATTTTGCTTTTTGCCTTTTTTATGATATCTATAATTTCCTCTATTTCACAGGTGTTCCATCTAAGAGAGTCTCCTTAAGGCAAGAATAGCTGAAAGGCTTTTTTAGAGATCATAATGTTGAACACAGAAAAAGATGTGAAGTAAAGATTAGGAGCTTGTTTTATAATGCTTAATATGTTTTGGGTTAAAAAATCCTGAAGACAATACTTTAAATCATCTAGACATAAGTGCCATGGGGAAAGATAGTAGTATATTCTTAATTAAACACATGACAGTAAATTATATACCTAAAGAACTGGGTTTATAAAAGCTGCTGGTGAACAATTAGTAAAAAAGCAATGTAGAATAATAAAATGATGCTCCTCTCTTGACAACTAGCACAAGGTGAAAAGAAGAAAAGGAAGTTAAAGGATTCTGAGTATCTGTTCTTCCAAAATAATAACTAATTGTAAAATCTCACTCATTGTATAATTGATGGGTGTTTCAACATTAGCATTTGTTGAAAAACTAGATGACTATATTAGAAAAATATTCTATTTTTAGTTTTTACAATAAGAAAAAAATAAGAATGTCATTGGAGATTTATTTTAAAGATTATTTTGTAGAGACTTTTTAGGTTATATAATGTTATGATATAAAGGAAATTATTTCAATTGGACTAATTCTATTGATCTTGCTTTAATTTTCCCATATTCATTATAGTATTTTTCTTGTACAATGTTAAAATATGATCAATTGAGATAAAACAATCCATCTGTCTCAGAGTTTAGAGGGGTGTGTGTGTGTGTGTGTGTGTGTGTGTGAAAAATTACAACTAAGTCAAAGATTTTTTTTATTATTGCAAAGATCTGTGCATAGTATTTTGTCATTTGGCCTATGCAATACACTTAAAGGATTCACTGGAATGTACTTATAGGTACTTGTAATAGGTGAAGAATTTATGTAAAGTTAATTGGCAGCCCCTAATCTTCAGAATATTCTAAACAATTCCTTCAGAATAAACAGTTCCTCACATATTCTCCTTAATGCACCTGCCTTGACAGCCTTTGTATACACTGTAGGTCAATAGATGGCATCAGTTTAAACTATAATTCTCCTCACAACAACTTACAATTTAGTTACCATGAAAATTATATCCTAAGTGGATGCCACCATGCTTATAAGCCCTATGAAGAGTCTCAGAGTCTCCCTTATACTTGGAATCATTCTGAGAAGAAAATCTACTCTCCCTCTCAAGATCTTGTTTTTCCCAGCCATGTTGAACATGTAGAATGCCCTTCTAATATACTCGCATTATGACTTAAGACTATCACCTGCTCTATCTTGCTTAGCCAAAATATAATGTCTAATCCTGTGAACAAATAATATCTCTCTCATATTTTGTCACCAGGATTATGTGCAGAAAAAGATTTAGTTACTAGTGACCTCATTTAGAGAAGGATTAGAACATATATGAAGAAAAACATAATACATCCTGCCATAAGAACATATGTAGAAAGTCACATAGCAAGCATCCTATTTCATTCATTCATTCATTATACTGTCATTGAACGAATTAGCATTAAGTACCTACTATGTCCTAGGAATTTAAGTCACTTAAAGCTTTAAATGTTATGCCTTACATAGAACATTCCTTACCCAATTTAAAATTTTAAGATTATAAAGTTAAGAAATTATTTTGCTGGATAAATTTCTAATGGCTTTTACATTGATCTTTTTAGTTCATATAAATTTTATTAGGTAATGATTGAAGCAGAAATGTAGCCTTGTTTTTATTTCATTTTGTTAACAATTTTTATTTCCAGTTTAGTAAAACTGACTAAACAGTACTTCCAAACCATTTGTTAAGTATTCTGTCATTTTCCTAACAATAAAAAATGTAATCTTCATTGTACATATATACATAAACATATATTAACACACTATATATATATATACACACACTATATCTAGATGATAGAGTGCAATGGTTATAGGCTCAAATTCTGAAGCCAGGTTCCCTAGGCTCAAACCTTGGTACATATATGCTAAGTCAATTTGGCTGGTTATTTAGCTTTTGTGTGCTTCTCTTTCCTCATCAAAATATTAAAAGTATAAGAAATAACTCTTATCAGTGCTATTTATATAATTTAGTTAATATATAAAAATATATAGGATAGTCTCTGGTAGGTTAAATTAAATAATTAGGTATTTTTATTTCTAGATTCACATAAATTTATTTATTCCCAGCTTTTAGTTCTGTTTTTTTCATGTGTTCACTTAATTTTTATATCTGTAAGCTTAGCCCTTTCCCTTCTCCTTTACCTTCTTTTTTTTTTTTGGAAATTTATTTGCCAATCTAGCATATTTACACCTCTAGTTAAATGTTATGATCAATTCCCGTACTCATATTTACATGGAAATCATATATTAATTTCAAAAGAATTGACAATATGTAATATTGGTTTCAATAATCCAGAAACATGAAATGTTCTAAATTATTCCAGACATTCTTCCCTGTTCTTTAAGTAGCTTTATTAACTGGGCTCCACTGTGCTGCCTTGGGGAATCTGGACCTGCACAGACATTGTGTTGCAGCTCCAGAGAAAAACTGTACTAGCGAAATAAATGAACTTAAACAATTTCAGAAGAAGGCACAAAATTATATAAGCCTATACCTAGGTTGGTTTAAATAAATAATTACACAATTATTTTATTTCATTTTTATTGCATTTTAATCATTCTTATGATATAATTCACATGCTATAAAATTCAACTTTCTATTGTATAAAATTCAGCAGCTTTGGGTAATTCACAAATTTGTGCAGCCATCACCATTACTTAGTTCCGGGACATCTTCATCAGTCCCAAAAGAAAACCTGTATCTTTTAGGAATCATTCCCCATTTTCTCAACTTCCAGCCCCTGGCTACAACTCCTATCTACTTCTGTCTACTACCTTCTCCAGGAATTTGCCTACTCTGGACACTTTATATAAATTGGATCATATAATATTTTTCCTGTTGTGTTGATTTTTTCCACTTACCATAATATTTTGAAAGTTCATCCATATTGTAGCATGTATCAATATTTTATTCATGTGTGTGTGGCTGAATAATATCCCATTGTACAGCTATACCATATTTTTTTTAATGTTTTCATCTGTTGGTGGGCATTTGAGTTGCTTCCATGCTTTGGTTATAAGGAATAATGCTGCTATGAGCATTCGTGCACAAAATCTTGTGTGTTCTTCTTCATTTCTCCTGGGTATGTATCTAGGAATGGGTCTAAGTTAAACTCTGTTAAGTTTTCAACACATTTTCATTTGCCTAGAGAACAGTCACCAGTAGCGCTTGCAGCGGCAGCGTTTACCCCGAGATAACACACAAGATTTGATATAAGAAATTCTTTTGCCACCTTCTAAATATTACAGTGCTGAACCCCTACATCCTGTTCAAAAAGGACAATCCTGAGCACACAATGAGCCAAGTAAAATTCAGACTGATGTTGATTGAAAGTATGCTGGAAAAGCATCACAAGCCAGGACATCAATGTCTTCGAGGTCGTCCATGCTCTGATGATGTCACAGCTCTTCGCCTCTCTGCAAGACATTTCTCCGAGAGCACAACACCAAATTCAGGGAAACGGAATCCAACTGGTCCCCGCAAAGTTTTCTGCCCACACAATGACAAGAGTGGCAAGAAGATCGGAGAGAAATGCAATATTTTTGTGCAGCATGTGATGTTCTGTTTTGTGTTGTTCCTCGCTTTGAAACTTACCACGTGTAAAAAAAAATTAAATGCCAGTCATCATCTACATTTCTGTTACAAAAGGATTAGAGACAAGTTATGTTTATAAATAACTCCAAGAACAGTTTTTCTCCTTTATTTTCACATTAAAATTCGGTCAAATTTGCTTCAGCCTCAAAACGTGTGTTTATATAAACTTAAATGAACACTGGAAGTGAGCTGCACTTTCTTCTAAACAGGAAATGAGTTTTAAAGAACTTCCAAACTGTTCTTCAATGATACTGCATCATTTTACACGCCCACCAGCAATATATGAGCCTCCCACACAATTATTTTATTATGTTTAGTGTTAGGTATTCAATAATTTTCTTTTCAGTTTGAATAATTTTCCATAACATTCTCTACCCAATTATACCAGCCTTATTAGAACCATAATATTTTTGCATATCTAACATTTAAAATATATTATGCCTTCTCTTTAGATGTAGAGGTTTCCAAATTAATATTTTAGATCTACGTATAGCATATTCTTTTCTCTCAGTGCTTAAATGATTCATTATGTTGTGACATACACTTGGGACTTTAGGTGAGGTTTCAATTATGCTCTTAATTTCTCCCTCTTCCTAGTACAATACCTACTTTTTCCCCACTTTTTTCAATTTATTTATGATTTCCCATTTCTATCTTTTCCTACTTTCAAAGAAAGAGAAATAATTATCAGTGCTTTATAGTCATTCTAAAAGCAACATAATACTCACATATGTCTACACATGATACAGCAACTGGGCTCGAATGTGCTCCCTTGGGGAACCTGGACCTGCACAGACATGGTGTTGCAGCTCCAGAGAAAAACTGTACTAGTGAAATAAACGAACTTAAGCAATTTCAGAGGAAGGCCCAAAATTACATAAACCTATACCTGTGTGAAAGTTGCATATGTTTGATCGAAATAACAAAGTTTACTGTAAAAGGGAAACCCATTCATTTGAATTAGGAATTAGTTGCCGATCATCACAAACCTTGCAACTTCAGTTGTTTCATTAGATCTTTTTTCTCTTTTAAATACTTTAAGATTAGTAAAGTGCTGGGAAACTACAAAACTAGATTCTTGTAGAATTATCAGAACTATAAAAATATAGAAATGGAAGCCCATGAAAGGTGTAAAAAGAATGAGAAATATAAAAATACATTTATTACAACAACCATTTTTGTTTTAGATTTGCTTTTAGTTTTATATTTACAGTAATATTGTGCATATGTTTGATTTTATTAGCTTTTTAAGATGTGTATAATAATTAGAATCAGAGTCATTTGGTTTGAAATTTTAAAGAGATACAAGACTTTGCTAAATAATTGCATTATCAATGCATAGGTATCTGGGAAAGATTAGTACATTTAATCAATAATTATTATTTAACAAATTATGCATTAAAGTATTTAGGAAAATTTTAATTCTTTTGCATTTAAATAAATGTTAATTACTTCAAATTCATGTTTGATTATTCAGTGTTATAAATCAAGGCTTGATAGTAATTAGTGTTTTTCTTTTTTTTCCCTTGAATATTTACTTCATATATTTCTGACAATAGATAATCCTCAGATCATACCACAGCCCTTTAATGGCATATTGCATCATCTTCCTAAATCAGAAGAGCTAGAAATTATTAAAAAACATAGAAAATGTTTTTTCAAAAGTCTTTGGGCTATGGATTTTGAAGCCATGTTTGTCTTTTTGTTTTGTTTTTGGAAACGTATTCTCACTCTGTCGCCCAGGCTGGAGCGTGGTGGCGCCATCTCAGCTCACTGCAACCTCCGCCTCCCAGGTTCGATTCTCCTGCCTCAGCCTCCCAAGTAACTGGGACTACAGACGTGCGTCACCACACCCAGCTAATTTTTTTGTATTTTTAGTAGAGACGCAGTTTCACCATGTTAGCCAGGATGGTCTCCATCTCCTGACCTCGTGATCCACCCACCTAAGCCTCCCAAAGTGCTAGGATTACAGGTGTGAGCCATGGTGCCCGGCCATGTTTGTTTTTTTAACTTTACTGTATCTTCACACTCCAAGTTCTAAGAAGACAGCAAATGTACCATTTTAGCTTATTCTCCTGTACCCAAACACACAGGAAATAGACAGCCTTTTTTTTTTTTTTAAACTTTTCCTTACTAACCACAGTAGTGCACTCTTACCAACAGGGAATCTGTTCCAAGCCCCCAGTGGCTGCCTAAAACCACAAATAGTACCTTACCCAATGAGACTATGTTTTATGTTTTCATTTTAAAATATTCCTCTACACGTTAACTATCTATTAACCTGTTTTTTAAAATATTTAAGGTTAATGCCTTAAAACTGCCGGATGGTGGCCTATAAAGACCAGATGTGACTTTGTGTTTTGCATTTCTTCTGAAAAATACAAGTTGAAACTGTCACCCCTTTCTTTAATAGATTTTCTACGTAGTGTGTTTATAGCAAAATTATGCTATAGAATTTACTATGATTAAAATCCAGTAGATAAATCTCTTCCAGACCAAATCTCATAATAGGCAATGAATTGTGAATGCATGTATGAAAGTAGCTATTCCTTTTTTCTACTTCATATAAACTAGATATCAGTACTAGATTTTTCTAATGCTTCAATTAATTAAGTATATAAAGACATTTTCTGCTTGCATCATGTCAAGGAAAAGGACTGAAATGTAATATATTGGATGTACGCTAATGTTTTCAAACTTTTAAGCAGGAAAAAATATTGTCCAGTGTTTCAAAATATCTGAACACAAAATCCTGAGTAAACTCTATACTTAAGGACTTATCAGCAAATTGAGAAAGCACCATATAATTAGAAGAAAAGCTAAAAGAATGTAGTGTCATAGGCATACCAGGATCACAAATATTTGCGCTGATGGTCCTCTGTAACTTAATCTCCCACAAGGCACTTTTTTCCGCCAACCCCTCCCTCCCCCACCACAGCTGGATAGGTCAAAGAAAGCATTTTATTATGTGTATGAATATCCATTGTCTTTTTAGCAACTGGATAAACATTCTGGTGTTTCTTTGTTAGTTTTTAGACTGATCTCTTTGTTCACTCAGCCTCCAGTACCTCTTACTAGATAAGCTATATGCCTCATGGTCTCTGTGATGTGGTCATATAATCTGTTGCCACTGAAGTGAAGAATTCAAACTTCTAAGCTTCTGTAAAATCATAGTTCTAAGAAAGTTAAAAAAAAAAAAAAGGTATCTGGTAAGAACTTATAAAGCTGATGTTACTGTCAAGGGAGGACTATCAGGGCATAACTAAGCCAGGAAAATGATCAGAATTTCAGCAGGTCCAGCTTGGTGGAGAGTAGCACAAGGGGCCAGTGATCTGAGCTGAGGTTCTTCCTGAAGAACCTCATTAGGCTGAAGGTTAAAAAAGTTTTGATTATCAGAATTTGTAGTATTCAGAGTGAGTCCATCAGAAATCTATGCTGTAACTTTGAGACGTTTACTTATAAAAAACATGTCTAGATTAGATATCCTGAAAAAAGATAATTTTTAAATTTTGCGTTTTTTAAATCCATGATGGATGATCCTATTAAATATTCTGGTCAGTAAATATGTGTGTTTTAGAGAAGAAAAATCTGAGAATGCTAGATGTAATTAAGGTACATCAACCTTAATATTTAAACATAGTCATGTTCATATGTGTGTGATTTTAATCGTAACATGCTCTCTCACTCAGCTGGACATTCTCTTTGGCAGGAACACATGACTGAAAATTTAAAGCCTTCATTAGAATATTTCAAGGTTTTACCATTGGTGATAAATAAAATGATAAATTCAAAATCTTTTGAGGTGGGCCAAGTGAGGGGTGGGTAGGAGATAATGTTTTACCCAGTCCATTTTATTTTATAATACAGACATATCTCTATGCTAACAGAAAATAAGTATTTTATACCAACAGTTAAAATCTATTGTGAGCCTATGCCAGGCTCTGTATTATGATTAAAGTTACTCCATTTAAAATTAAATCCAACTGAACACCACAATGATTCAAAAAGTAGGTACTATACTATTTCCATTTATAACTAAGAAAGCAGGATTAGTTGCCAGAGTGATTAATATTTCAAAGTTACATTAAGTTATGCCTCAGAATAAAAATTATGAAGTTATTTGTAGCTCTTAACTACTACTTTATAGTTCCACTTTTAACCACTGCACATTGCCATCTTGTATCTGTAGAGTACTATGCGCCCTTGATTATTCAGATGTCTATAAACTATATTGTTCAGGGTTTGCCTGAGACCCACATGCCAGCACCCATCGTGATCCTGGGCAAACAAGTTGGTCATTCCACAGAGGGCAGAGTAACATGGAAATTAAAACAGTGCAAATTCTTAAATCACACTGACCTGGACTTGCTTCCAGACTTCAAATTAATTTTTGTGACATTTGGAAAATAATTTTCTAAGCCTTAGTTTTCTTCTGTAAAATTATCATAGAAAATTCTATATAACCTAGAGATATTTCAGGAAAATAATGAAATAAATGCATGCAAAATTCTTTTCATAGTGCCTGTCACCCAGTAAGTTTAAGTTAGTATTATCATCATGGGCATATTCAAAAAAACAAGGCTCACATATATTAAGTGACATCAACAATTATACAGATAATGATTAAATTTTTGAAAAATAAAATTTTTTATCAGAGAATTCTGAAATCACTTTAACTCAATGGCAACCCTTTAGAAATAATTTGTGGATATTTTCAGATTTTCAAGTCTTGAAAAGGTTTAATCTTCCCAGGCACATTTTCTTTTTGCCAAAAATGTTTTGAAAAGAAAATTATTCCTTTTGTTTTATGAACTATATTACCAACGTTCATAAAAATAATTTTTTTCCTTGGGCCAGAGTTAGCATATTTGAGGTTATTAGAAATGTCCTAATCATTATTATTTATAAAATGTTAAAAAGTATGCCTTTGGTATTAAGAAAAGTTGCAGCTCGTGAGCAATTTCAAACTGTCCTCATGTGCAATTATTTCTTGTCTTAGTATTGAGATAATATTTACTATTAGCGTTGCTTGAGACAAAAGAGTAGGTGGAGACACTAGCATTGTAACTATGTAGGACCTAAATCCTCACTGACATGTTTATCTCAACTGTTAAAATCATGTAGTTCATCTTCCTCACTCACATTTTTGGGCTTGGCTAATAGTCATCTAGTATCTCCTTCTCTGTGTCGTTTCTACAACAGAAAATAATAAACTAAACTATATTCTTTTGAAACTAGAATTCTGGATATAGAGTCCTTTGCAGTGAAATGCACTGGCAGGAGATTTGGAAGATGAAGTAAAACAGAGGCTATATTCTCACTGCTGTTTTGGTCTCAAATGAGGTGGAGACATTGGTGAATGAAAAGCAATTGTGGTACCCAGTCTCAGCATTTCTGTGCCTGATCACAGGCTTTCCTACTGTAGAATAACAGAATCAGGGACACAACTGTGGTACTTTGACTTTCACTCAACTCTTCAGCAATAGCCCCTGCTTTTCATTCTTTTAGTCATTGAAATCATTTTTAAGCCTCTCATTGCCTGTATTGAAATCCTTTCCGCTTTAAATGTCTAATGACTTTTGTTTTCTGTACAAAATTCAGACTGATGCTCTCAGTCTTTCCCCATCAATCTCCTTCAGGCTTTCTGAAACAGCATGAACCATTGACGATGTGTGCCCAATATCTCCCCTTCTTATTGGCCATGTTTTTTCAGTGGGTCATTTTCCATTCAAACTTGCACTGCCTTTTTCCTCACCAATTTGGTTCCCTGTAATACTTTCCTAGAACACAGAAAACGTTTAACATTCACCCAATTCTTCTGTCTTCTCCCTTCTCTAATTTTAAGAGCTGTGAAGAGGTCAGTGCAACTCTACACTTCATGATCCACATGTATCTTCTTCCACATGCTTTTTTTCAATTATGAGTATCTTTTGAATCATGCCAATAGAATAAAAACCTTCAAGAAGAGAATATGTCATAGATTTAAAGCCATGAGGGATTATGGATGTAATGGTTTATATGGTCCCTCTGCTTACTTTTCCACAGGTTTCTAAAGAAATGCATATCTACATGGGTAGCTATCCCTCTTATCTGTTTTTCTATTCTACTTTATTGCTATCAATATGATTAAAATTTTATTATCTTCAGGCTTAAGTAGTGTCTTAATCTGTAACCCTTCTCCTTGCCTTCAATCTCTCTCTTCCAAAATTGCTAAAATCTCCATGTTACAGCACAAATCTGATAAAAATTCAAATGCTAAGCATTTGCTTAAATTAATCCAAACATATTCAAGGTCCTTCATAGTAGGAACCAACTCATATTACCAGTAATACCTCTTGTAATCTCTCTTTACCCCAAGTAATCATATACAACTTTATTTCCCCATGTCCACGCTATGGTTTCCAATATCCCACAAGAAAGTAAACTTGTATACTTTTACATTTAAAAAGTGATCCATAAAATAAACATAGTGACCAATATTTAAAATTGTTTGAGACATTAATTATCCATATTTACTGGAGCTACATCTTTGAGGAGAGAGATTTCTTTATCTCATATTTGATTACTGATTTTCTTTTTTTTTTTTTTTTTTGAGACAGAGTCTCACTCTGTCACCAGGCTGGAGTGCAGTGGTGCAATCTGGGCTCACTGCAACCTCCACCTCCCGGGTTCAAGTGATTCTCCTGCCTCAGGCTCCTGAGTGGCTGGGATTACAGGGGCATGCCACCACATCCAGCTAATTTTTGTATTTTTAGTAGAGATGGGGTTTCACATGTTGGCCAGGATGGTCTCAATCTCCTGACGTCGTGATCCACCCGCCTTGGCCTCCCAAAGTGCTGGGATTACAGGCGTGAGCCACTTCACCCGACCAATTTTCTACATATTCTTTAGGCTTATATGGACCATGAAGACTTCCATGTCACCTCTGCATAATTTTAAATTCCCTCGGAAATTTATTGGCAGTTAATTTCTTCTAACATTTATTTTATATAACTTTGCCACTGTTACATTAAATGCTAAGATTTCTCAGTAGATAAACAAATAATATTGATTTTTGTTTTCCGAAGTGCTTATGTCTATAGAATATTGTATTATTCATGCAATTCACAATTTTGCATTGACTTTCTAGTTTCAATGGCCCAAATTATTTTACACAGTTTTTCTGAGTCCCAGCTATCTACTAAGAAATTATGTCATTTGCTTCTACATGATATTACAGTATTGCTCTCCATACCAATATTTTAAAATTCCTTTTTGGATGATTTATTATAGATCTGGTGTGGCTTTTATATTATGTTTTATTTTCCTATATTTTAGTAATTTTAAGAGGTGAGTTTTCTTCTTTCTTTTAGTTGCTATTCAGTTTCTACTGTTTCTTATAGGTGGTTTCAGTGTAATATGTAAACATCAGAAAGTGCATCATTATTAAATAAATCCTCTATTCAACTTTTAGCTATAGGATTTATAGTCTGCGCTTAATGAAAACCTATTGGCTAAAACTCCTAGAATTAAAAATTGTCACACTGATTTTTTAATAACTAAAGAAAAATGTATACTAATTTATTATTTTTGCTAGTTATTATTAAATAACTTCATTTACTTTCTAATTTCTGTCATAACCATTTAAATATATTTTTAAATCTCTTTTTAAGATTCTCAACATTGCCGTCTGGTGGAGAAGTGGGTTTTTTTTGTTTTGTTATGGTTGCTGATGTATTTTTTTCAGTTGATAAATAAAAATTACATATATTTGTCATGTACAATAAGTTTTGAACTATGTGGAATGGATAAGTTGAGCTAAATAGCACATGCGTTACCTCACCTCTTTATCATTTTTTTGGTAAGACTTGAAATCTACTCTCTTAGCAATTTTCAAGAATACAATTCATTGTTACTAACTATAGTCATCTTGTTGTAAAATAGATTTCTTGAATTTATTCCTCCTATCTAAAAGAAATTTTCTATCCTTTGACCAACATCTCCCCAGCCTCACTGCCCCAGCTCCTGGTAACCACTGTTCGACTCTCCATTTCTATGAGTCCAACTTTGTTAGATTCCACCAATAAGTGAGATCATGCTGTGCCTGGCTTATTGTAGAGCTTTTAATTACAATCTTTGTAAAAGTATCATTTCATATATATGATATTTTAAAATATCAAAGTAGAAAAATGCCTCATATTTGGATATTTTTAAAATTTTATAATGACTTTAAAATTTGAGAATAATCACATACATACATAAATCATTAGCAACCTATATTTTTATATGATAGATACATACATATATCAAATTTGTAGAGGGTATGTGTACATACATATACACACATATATAAGAGTATATGTATATATATAATACACACATACATATATATGCAGTATGTATGTATATGTTTACATGAATTTGAATATGTAGATAAACAATATTTTTCAACTGAGAACACAAATTTAAAATAGTATTTTCAATTGAGAACATGAAATCAAAATAATATTTTCAATTGCCTGCAGACTGTGAACCAAGCAAAATTGGTGGTATCAGGCATATGCATAAAACATCTACTCCTTGATCTGTTGATGTCCAAAACTGAGCCTGCTGTAACGCTTTAGAAGACACAGTGCAATTTATTGAAGGTTGCAAGGAAGTGATATTGGTTTCACAATCAATAACTATCAATGAATTGATATAATTTAAAAACCAAATATATGAAACATTTAAAAAATATTAGCCAATCTCTTAATGGTCTATTCCCTGATTTTATAGACACTAGGGGTAACTTGGAAGTTTTATAAGGCATTCTCTTTTATCGAACATAGAACCATATATTGCCTTGCTTTGCCATGTCTATGATAGCTCTTATCCAGCAGATGGCAGCACTTGCAATATTATGACATTAAGAAAAAATTAAACTCATTTGAACAATACATATTTAATTTCTATCAATATTTATAAATTTACAAATACTTATGTGTTTATACAGTTTATTTTATTAACCCTATAAAAATAACATATAGCAAATGCAACTTACTGAAATATTTAAGACACATTATTCATGACAAAAAATAGACAGAAATATAAAATCTGCACTAATAAAGTCACAGAATGTAAGGAAATCCAGTTATGCTCACCAAGTTTAGAATATTTTTGTATTTAAAATAAAAATAACCTATTGTTTATTTGTGTAGTACTTTCAAAGAACCTATCACTTGGTATGCATATTAAGCTTAGATTACCTCCAAATCTCACTAAAACTATTTGCTTGGTGAATGACATTTTAAAACTAGATGTCTTCAATTATTTTAAATAAAATGATTTATTCATCAGTACATATTACTTAACCACAATTGAGTAAAACCTTCTAATTTCCTTTAGAAATAGTTTCACATATGTTAAATTTCACATAATATAAAACATCAAACTAAGAACACATGCCTATAAAATTTTTCTGTATTTTATTAATTCTAAAAATAAGACTTTTCAATATATGTATCCTTCTCTCCAAATTAATATACGCTTGCAGGAAAAGCATTTCAATTGGTTAGAAATATGTGATATTGAAAATTAGATGGGTGAAGCAAGTATCTTTATTTTGGCATTCTTAGTGTCAGTCAAAAAATCAGAAATTCTTCCAAATATGTGGAATTTATCTGGGATTTAGAAGTGAGAATTAAAACATAAGATGCACAGCTATGTCACGCCACAAACGC
Source organism: Homo sapiens (assembly GCF_000001405.40). Taxonomy (NCBI): domain Eukaryota; kingdom Metazoa; phylum Chordata; class Mammalia; order Primates; family Hominidae; genus Homo; species Homo sapiens. Next base: position 85,827,436 of record NC_000013.11, on the reverse strand, counting down.
ATCTGAAGAGGGGAGAGTAAAGGGAAACTTTCATTGGCAAAAAGTGAAGTTCACATAAACTGCTTGGAAACAGAGTTCATTGGTTTCACAGAGTCAGTGACAGAGTTAGTACCAGTTCATTGGTGGAGATGCCATTATTGGGTAGGTGTTCTTTCAATCTGGGGTTAGTTTAGAAAGTCCTTGAGACAGTCTTTGTCTCCAGCATACAAGCATGAACCCTCCCCTTTTTTTCTCCTGGCTTTGACTAAAAAGGATTTCATCCCAGTATCTGCAAGTTTCATATTAGTGATATATACCAACTAACAAAAGAAAGAGCAATGACTAAAAACTTCTAAAATCTAACAATACATACTGGAATTTAAATATTCTTAAACTTAACTAATATGTGAATTAAGACAAGTTACCCACTTTGTCTTATTCATATCCCAAGCCACTGCATCCTCCAAGTACCTGTTACTTTCTAGTGTTTCACTGATGCTTATAAAACAGTCAATTAATGTTACTCAAACAATCTCCTTTTCCTCTCCTTTTGTAGCTTCTGATTGCCAATGTCCTCTCTATTACGTTGAGATTATCTCATTATTGCCAGAGGCTGCCTATGTCTTTGCTGTTTAAGCCCCAGAGGAGTTCAGTATCCTGTTTAAAAATGGACATTTCTCCCTTTTGATCCAGACTTTGTCACATATTAACAAGCAAACAAATCAGTATAACCTGTGAACTTCCCACCCAAAACTTTGTATCATCGAGCTCTCCTTGAAGACAGCTTCTTGACAATTTGCTTATAATCTCTCTATCCACAGATCAACAATTAACACCCCACCCCCCAACACACAAAATTAAACCTAAAGGCAACATGAGTTTGGGTTCATTCCGTGTGCCGTAACGACTCGATTGTCTTCATCACTTTTTCTCATCAGTTACAGTATACATCCTGACTTGGGCATAAAGTTTGCTCTACCATGAAACAAAACTGAAAATATTCTCCAACTGTCATGCTTCAACAGATATAACCAAAAGATTCTAAATTCCTTTATGTAAAACTCTACCTACAAACTTACACATTTAGCGCTGACCTCTAAAAGATCTCTTGACCCTAGTCAATCTTTTTCATAACTCCATAAAACTAGTTAGTATAATTTCACAGTAGCTAATGTAATTATTTTCATTCTATGTAAAATGAACACTTTGTTGATAGGTCAGTTTATATTTCCTCTTGATTACCCTAAATTGCCACATCAATCATTACTTAATTACAGGTACATAAAAATCCACACAATTAGTATGAGTAGCAGGGGTTTTCTCACTCTCTAACTCTTTGAAACAGTACCACTAGGGAGAAAGTCACTGTCAGGTACTAGGAAGCATCTGAGAATATATGTTGTTTTTTTGCTAATGAATTAGACTGTGATAGTCGTACAGATATTAGCAGAAACTATGAAGCTCCTGGGTCACAAACAACGCAGTTTACTACTCATAGCTAGAGCGGTACTCAGGATTAAATATTTTGCCCTTTCCCGAAACAAAATTCATGCAGGGTAATGAAATGAGGACCAGGTATTTCCTGCACACACAGTGTGAATTGTTATAAAACACCCATGATGGAAGGCCCAATCTTCTTTGCGCTCTCTTGGCCAACTTGCCTATCCTCCCATTCAGTGAAAAGACATTATCTTTATTACCTTGGAATGTCATTCAAATCTGCTACAGGGAAGGAGATATTTCTATTTTTACTGTCCTAGAATGTAAGCAAATCTGTTCCAGGTCAATGAGTCATCTCTATCTTCCAAGGCTATCCGTTTGTCAGAACAGTCTTGAAAAGATAGTCTGGAAGACATCCGTTGTTAATGTCTAGACATGTATATACATTAGAGACACATGGATGTCAATCATTTCTTTAAAATAATATGAAATTACCCCCATTTTTTGTATCACTTTGTTTTCTTTGAGTGTTGCCCATAACAAATAATCCTAAAAGAGGGAGATTTTTCAAAAAAATGTTTATTATTGCTCATGGTTCTGTGGATTGTTTGGGCTGACCTAGGCAATTCTGTTACATATGCTGCTGGCTGGAATTGTTCATGCAGCTGAATCTAGCAAAAACTCTCCTGTCCTTGGAAGATTCAAGGCAGTTGTGCTTATATGTCTAACATCTCAGCTTGTTAGGCCTTGGTCTCTAGCAGGAGAATGAAAAGGCTTATATAGTATCCAAGCCCTGTGGAACAAATGTGAAAGCTGCAAGCTTCTTAAAACCTAAGTCTGTAACTAACTTCCAAAATTCCAATGATGAAAATGCATTTAAAGTCTAGTTCAGATTCAAAGCATAGGGACATTAATTCTACCTCTTGATGGTGTGTAAGGATGGAAAGATTTGTTGGTGGCCATATTTTCTGACAATCTAGCATACTTGTCATTATGTGCTATTTTGGGTAAGTGTGCAATTTGTACCCTTATTAATGCATTCACATTTGTGATAGATGAAGTAAATGGTAAGCAGAAAATAATAAGGATGTTCTGGGACTTTTAAAAATACAATATTGACTTTTTGACAGCTTGGCCTCAAATGTTTTAAAACAGATATATGTGAGTTTATAATTTTCATATTAAAAGAGTGATTATTAATGTTTGACATTTTCCTAAATTGGACTTACACTGTGTTACTCACATTAGAATGAAGTGCTCTGCTAAATTATTAAAGTAAACTTTATTATACAGATCATTTGTCTCATTTTTACTAAAAAGAAATAAGTAAAATAACCTTTATTTAAGTAGTCAGAATTGACCAAAAATGTTTCATCATTACTATTTTAAAATCAGGTAGCTTCACCTCAATTTGTAAATTTCAGTTGAATTTTCATTACATAAATTAAATACATTTAGTAAACCCATTCCATCAACATTACTTAATTCTACTTCTTACTCTGAATATATCCTGTATCTGTGGTTCCCAAAATGTGTGTTGAGCGTACCACAGTGAACTTTTAGGGGTGCAATAAGACATTTTATATTTTCAAATGAAACACAGAAATACTCAACATCTGTCATATATTATACAAAATATTAACTCAAGGTAACTTAAAGTTTCAATGTTAGATAATTCTGTATTCCTTTTAATTATATCACATCTCTACAAAGCTGGAGTTTTGGCACTTACTATCAAAGAATGCACGTGTTACCAGAAAGGGGTCCTGATTCGGACCCCAAGAGAGAATTCTTAGATCCCATGCAAGAAATAAATGGGGACGAGGCCACAGAAGAAAGTAAAAGCAAGTTTATTAAGAAAATACAATAATAAAACGGTGGCTACTTCATAGGCAGAGTAGCAGCATAGGCTGCTTGACTGAATATACATATGGTTATTTATTGATTATATGCTAATCAAGGGGTGGATTATTCATGAGTTTTCCAGGAAAGGGATGCAGATTTCTCAGAACTGATGGTTCCCCCTCTTTTCAGACCATATAGGGTAACTCCGGGACATTGCAATGGCGTTTGTGAACTATCATGGCGCTGGTGAGAGCGTGTTTTAGCATGTTAATGTATTATAATCAGAGTATAATGAGCAGTAAGGACGACCAGAGGTCACTTTCATTGCCCTTCTAATTTTGGCACATTTTGTCTGGCTTCTTTACTGCATCCTGTTTTATCAGCAGAGTCTTCTGATTCTGTCTTCTGCAAGAATCTATATTATCATCTTTAAAGCAAAGCTTATTCTTAGACTAAGAATATTTTGCTCTTAAGGTATCATCAGGACATTCCCTGGCTCTATTAAGTCCCGGGTCTGTTCAGTAAACATTATTAACCTATTTCCTTAACTGTGAATATCCTGTTGACTAAGAATGCCCATCCTCCTAGGAATACAGCCCAGTAGGTCTCAGCCTCATTTTACCGAGCACCTGTTCAAGATGGATTTGCTCTTGTCCAAATGTCTCCGACGCAAGTACTGTGGAAAGTCAATGTGCGCTATGAACATTACAATTATAACTAATTATTGGCTTTCAATTTGGTGTTCAGGCAAATAAAATAATCATCTTTTATTCACTTTCTCTCATATTATCTAACGTGGTCATTTTAATCATTCAGAAATAATAAAGATATTTTCTTTAGGATATTTATGATAAATTAGATAAATTATTTTAATAATCTGAATGATAGTCTGTCAAATGTTTTATTATTCTGGTCTAATGTGACAGGTTACAATTCAACCATTCGACCATTACACTTCAGTTAGGCAAACAATAAGTAATTTATAACTTAATTCCTCTTCCTTGAGTCTTCCTCCCCTTTGGGTGTCCCTATGTTGGTGAGTGTTTGTGTGTGTGGGTCGAGAGGGGCACACCAAGAACCACATGTTAAACTTTCCAGTCAATGGAATCTCAGATTCCCATTAGTCTTTGCTACGGATTATCTCATCTATTCTATTTCCAGACTGGCTTTTAATGAGATATACAGATTCTATTTGGCCTAATAGGGAACACCATGCAGGAATCTGCTGCTGCAGTAATACAAATTTCTTTTATACCCTGACTTCTTTGTCCTGATACCAGCCTACCAGCTCTCCTCTCACATCCAAGATCATTCAAGTTCTCCAGTGAAGAGGAGGATGGCATATTAGATTTATCAAAATATCTGCCTCTCCTGTCACCACTGAGTCAACATTCCAGACACAATGCTCCACACATTTTTGAACAGGAAAAACTATGAGAAAGGGGCTTCTTCCAGAGTTCAAAATAGAGATGGTAGAAAAACACCCTTGCCCTTAGAATTCCATTCAGTCTCCTTAGTACATTCTTCTACATGACCTGGGGACACAGAAGCAAGTCAGGGCACATTTGTCTAGGCATCTACTTCCTTTCCAGATTTTTTTTTTTTTGGTTGTCAATCTTTTTGGTCCACTCTTTTTTCCCATGTGTTATATCTTCCCTGTTTTTGACGTAGAATTTTCTTCACCCCATTTCCAGGAGTTAAATGGCACAATGGATATTACAAAAGAATATTTACAAAAACATGAAAATCAAATTAAATTGATATTTCTTTATTGGAGCTCAAGTGCAGGAAATTGAGTGAAAGTCCTTAGGTGATATCATATTCTCATTTCAGTTTAATATTGTAAGACTCTGTTAAAATGGAAATTGTTCTAACTGCTTTGGATTGAGGCATCAGAAGACCAAGATATATCAGTATTTGGTTAAGTATCTCCATATCCAAAATGAGATGGTAATTAATGTATGCAAGACTTGTAGGAAGATATGTATAAACCTGTTTAGAGAGGCAGAGTCACCATAAGCCTTCAGAGTATAAATAAGTTTGGGGTTATTGGGAAAGAAGAGATGATCTCTTTGGAAAATTTTAGGATTTGGTGGCATTTTCTTAAATCTACATGGAGATGACAAATATGTTATTTATTCTCATTTATAGTGAGAAGGGCTTCCAGGAGACCACTCAGAACTTAACCTGTGCCTCTTGATTCTGAGTGATGCACTTAGGCTAGACCCAAACCAGGAAAGCTACAAATTAAAGACTGTAGGCTAGGTATCTGATGATAGTCTAGTCTAGGGAACTAGACTTTGTGAAGAATGACTAACTCCTGTAAATTTTTTGGGCAAAGGATGACCAATTGTTGGTCATGAACAAGATGTATGCCGAGAGGGAAATGGCAGGTCCGGACCCATTATAGGAAGTTTTTTTGTTTGCTTGTTTGTTTGTTTTTCCCCAAAACCTTCCTGCAGGCATAAGACTAGAAGTGACCTGTTAGGAATTGTTAAGTGATAGCACCTGAAGTAGCCACACAACCATGTTGTGTGATCCATATCAATAATCCTCATGCATGGCCAATCTACCAGTTGATTATTCTGGAAAGAGAATATTCTCTATCATCTGAAAGAATCAAGCAGAAAATATGAAGGGGCTGATAGCAGCTGGCCAGGCAACCTGTACTTTCATCAGCTCTGTAGCTCTTCATGGCTTCTCTATTGAATTGTGTCCTTCACACACACCTCTCACCCTTGGCTATAGCTGCTAATTTCTCTATTGCGGAAAAATGGGTACGAAATAGGTGTCCTGGATGGGCATGGTGGCTCACGCCTGTAATCCCAGCACTTTGGGAGGCCAAAGCGGGCAGTTCACCTGAGATCAGGAGTTCGGGACCAGCCTGGCCAACATGGCAAAACCCTGTCTCTATTAAAAATGCAAAATTTAGCCAGGCATGGTGGCACACACCGGTAATCTCAGCTGCTCAGGAGGCTGAGATAGGAGAATCCCTTGAACCCAGGAGGTGGATGTTGCAGTGAGCTGAGATCATGCCTACTGTACTCCAGCCTGAGCCACAGAGCAAGACTCTGTCTCAAACAAAACAAAACAAAACAAAACAAAACAGAATAGTTCTCCTAAGTAAAAATGGAATGAAGCAAGAGCGCCATTTAAAAACTTTTGCTTAACTTAGTCTGCTATACCCAGATATTTTCTATTACAAGCTGTCTTCACCTGGACATATATCATATTATGGAAGCTTTGTTTGCCCAGGCATTGTCAGAATTTTGTATTAGTTTATAAGATTTATAAGATCCATACTTATGCCTTATTTCATGGCTTCTTAAGAGTTGAATTGGGAGCAGAAAGCCCTTCCATCATTAAAATTCCTTTCACTTATATTTATTTTTCAAAGTTTACCATGCACATTTCATGGCATGATACATTATGTGTGTTTTTATTTATTTTAGCTCTGGGGAAAAAAATAAAGAGGCATCCGCAGTTACACATTTGGCCTTGCTGTTCAGAGGAAGCAGAGTATATGAAAATCTTTAATCTTCAATGTGTACAGCTCATAGTTTCCCACCCAAATGTTGACTAATGAGGACTGAAACTGCCAGAATCCCACATATATTGTCTCTTTTTTCAACAAACACTCTCTCTCCTGCAAACACACACACAATCAATGAGCCCTTTTATGACTAATTTTTCTGGAAGCTTCAGCATAAATGTCACTTCTATTTGGAGTCTTGCTTAAATTTTCAAATTCAGTTAGGTCCCCATATTACAAAAAAAAAAGATTATCATCATTCATAATTGTTATTAACCAACTATATTATATATGTACATATCTTTCCTATTGCTATTCTGATTACAGTACAATCTAGAAGTTCTGGATTCTTTTTTCTTGTTGACTGTATACAGCATCCAGTGTTCTGACAATGATTAAGTTCTCAGATTATTTAATAAAGTGATGAATGAATTTATGATTGTCATTTAAATAAACTATGAAAGGAGAAGAGTAGTGAATATCAAAATCTGGCTTTCAAAAAACCAAAAATCAAAATTCAAAATGATGCCAAAGGTAAAGGGATAGAGATGGATAGATATATAGGCAGGAGTGTGTGTGTGTGTGTAGGTGTGTGTGTAGTCATTTAATGGTGGGGCAGCAGTGAGTCGTTTCACAATGAATGATTTTCAAACTGACTTTGAAACAAAACTACAAATTTTTGTTGTGTTACTAATTCTTAAATAAGATATTTATTTAGGTTTATTTGTCATTCCTATTTGCAATAGCAACATAGATCAAAGATAATGTTCAATTATAGATCACTTAGCTTACCAAGAAGTACATGTTTTTTAAACAGAGAAGGCTTTAAATATTGTTGCCTTATGGGCAAATTCATTCAAGTGAAGAAATAAGCCTCTAGGACAGCATTACTTAGAATTACTCAGATTTATCTACGTGAGGTTTTGGGATAAAGCTCCACATAAAGTGAAGGAACAGATGGACAAGTGTTATATTTTTGGCAACCTGTTTTTCATTATATAAACTAAATTGACTGTTTTGCATATGCGTGGGGCAGAGTACTAAGTATCTCTTTGATCTTTGTGATTACTGCAAATAATGCATGTCTGTTACACAGATGCCTTTTAAAGGACATATAAAAACAGTTGACATTTATCCAACCATTTTGTTGCTTTGATAATGATTTCTAGACATGTTAAAGGTTATAAATGAGAAAGTTAGTCAACATTTAGTTGGTCAGAAGTTACTCATAAAATTAAATAATTAACTAATTTTGATACAATTATAATAGTATACTTTAGTGCATGTTTAACCCCAAAGGAATATGATTACATGTTTTGTGCAACCTTGTACATGATTAAAATGATCTACAAAGCAACTCCAGTTTGAGCTTATTTTTATACAAAGGAACATTTTGAAATTAAAGATACAGAAAGAAACTGAAAAATGTTTCAAAAACAAGAGCCACAAAAAGAGTGCACTAAATTAAACAGAAAACTGTTAAAAACCAAATGCCTTCTATGATTACAAAAATTATGTTTAAAAAAACTAGAATATATGTGATTATCTATGAATGTAATTATAAAGTTTTAATGGGCCGGGCACAGTGGCTCATGCCTGTAATCCCAGCACTTTGGGAGGCTGAGGCGGGCGGATCATGAGGTCAGGAGATCGAGACCATCTTGGCCAACATGGTGAAACTCTGTCTCTACTAAAATATAAAAATTAGCCAGGCATGGAGGCACATGCCTGTAATCCCAGCTACTTGGGAGGCAGAGGCGGGAGAATCACTTGAACCCAGGAAACGGATGTTGCCCAGTGAGCTGAGATCATGCCACTGCACTCCAGCCTGGTGACAGAGCAAGACTTTGTCTCAAAAAGAGAAGAAGAATAATTTTTCAATGACATGAATAAATAGAAACACATGCCATATCCCAGTGTGGGAAGAAAGGCTATAAGAATGCTTATATTCTCCAATGAATTTATAATACTAAATTTATTACCATCACAAATATTAGCTGACAATTTGATGAAAATATCTCTTGAGACGAGAAAAGTGCATGTGTCTAGCTACATTTAAGGACAACTAAAACAGGAAGTTGTTTTTTTCAAATAACAAAAACACATGTGCAAGAATGTAAACTTTGGCACTGACAATTGAAACTTATCTTCAAACATGTATTAATCAACTCAAAAGGGCACCTGACAACCTCAGTATCTCTTGAAAGCCACAAGCAACATGCACGGACAAATATTTATTTAGGCGTCCACTTCATGTGGAACACATGTGGGACATAGTTACATGAAAGAGTTCTCTTGAAGACTTATGACCTCTACCAGATCACATCAGGAGAACAGTGTTTCTGGTACTTTCTGTATTATTACTTTATTTGGACTTATTTGGAATTTACTATCATCCTCTTCAAGTTTAAGAAATGGGTTGAGAAGGGAGCAGAAGTCTGTGATCTTTCTAACATATTTGTTTTATCCTTTTCTTCCTCTTTCTCTTACTTCTTCACATCAAAGGTGAGGCTTTCCATAAGCTTTTCTTTTCTGGAAGGGGCTTCTATTTAATCATATTCTTTTTCAGTTTTAGGTGAAATGGGAACATTTCACATTTTATCAAAAGAAAACCTACATCTTGCTCATAAATTAAGAAAAATATAAAATACTAACACCACTGTAATTTCAAAACAAATTGCAGACAGAGACAAATACAATGAAGAAATGATACTAGTGGTAACTTCTAGTTTGTACCAATATCCAGTTAATTCAGAGCTCCAATATAATGAAGTGGACATGACATACATCACTTCTAGGTCTAGCCCTAGAACGGTTTGTCAATTCTTCAGTCTCTCTCTCTCGTTTTCTCTGTCTCCATAACTAGAATAACTTAACAGCCCTAGAAGCTGTGAGCACCACAAATGTAAAGAGGCATGACTCTAATTACTGCTTGGAGCAAAGTCACACAAGAGATTAGTGGCCAGAAACAACCGCATTGGAGTATGTGCAAGCCAGAGATTCATTTTTATTGTATGAAGCTAAGATAAACTGAATTATAAAAATTCATTGCAATCCATATGAGGTTTAAAAAAAGTAGAAATAAAAACGGGGAGCCAACAATAAAAGTTTAAGCTTTCATTGTGTAAATCATTAAACTTGATATTCATATAAATAATAAGTTAATTCCATTGCTAAATTAACTTTACTGGATTGCAAAGCACTTTATGACTTTTCCTGGATTTCCACATATTAATTTAACCTTAATTTTCTTTGTTTCCTGTGATTAAAAACACATAATTTTCCAAATATTTTATTCATTAAGTTTCTATTTTCTCTTAATTATCATAAACCGTAGAGAAGATTAATTGATACCTACATAATGTTACTACAATAAATATAATTTTAGTAAATACCTTATTAAAAACACAAAAGATTCTTTGCAAATACAAAATAATGATATATTCCTTTGAGTGTCTATGCTCTGCTTTTACCTTGGGAACAAAATGTTGCTAATATAATGTTTTATTTAAATCATTTATGATGTGACTTTTTGTATTTGTGGTTTGTATTATTTGTTATTATGAAATAGTATTCAATACTAAATTTAGAGCTGTAAATTTACTAATAAAGATATTGAAAAAAGATATATTTAGTCATAGTTTATCCTATCCTGAAAACCTATGAAATTTAAAGTAATTTTTAAATAATTTTCAATCATATAATAGAAAAAAGTGTTAGCATTCCAGTGACAATTAATAGGCCATGTATTGACCTGAAACAGCTTTATGAAATAGACTGATTTTGGAAGGGTAAATTTATTATATAAATTATTCACCATAAATTAACTTTTAACAGTTTTGTATACATTTCAAAATAATAAAATGTTTTCTTAAATATAATCTAGGATTCACAATTTCCAAAGACAGAGAAAAAGATTATAAACATTTTAATGAGGTTTAGTGTTTTAAAAGAATGAAAGTATTATATCATTTATATAGGCACATGCTTAAATGATTTTCACTAGTATTTGCCAACAGCAGAGGGAGATATTGAACTATAAATTACAATTTTACCATGCACATCTTTTGCAGAATGATTTATAGCCAGTTAGACATTTGATTTTGAACTTGCTTTTCTTGAAAAAAAACACCTTTCTTACACATATTTTATGAAGATATTTTTCTCTTGAGATATGTTTAACAACCCACAACCAATAGTGTTTTTAAATTTGAAAATTAATGGATTTACATTATGCTAATATATCACTTGATATTTTACTTAACGTCTAACTTTTAAATGTCAAGTAACTCAAAACTAATGCATTTTATGTTTCATTAAAACTGACTAGGGCAGTAAAGCATGATCTTTTACACTCAGCCAGACCTGAATGGATGCCTCTGTTCTGTTATTTACTAGTTGTGTGGCCCTCAGCAAGTTATTTTTCTTTTCTAATTTTCACTCTTTTTACCTGTAAAGTAAGGATCATAATAATATATCATTTAAAGGGTTGTTGTAAAGACTCTCTCTCTCTCTCTCTCTCTCTCTATATATATATGTAGTGTTTACCAAAGTAATTTTCCATTAAAGATGGTCAATATACATTTATTAATATTCTTGATATGATTACTATTTTTAGAATTCAAGAAATAGTGAATGCATAAAAATATATAAATCTTCAATTATAAATCATATACAACTAAATTATATAAAATAATGTTGATATACACATACTTTGTAATACTTTGTGTTCTAGAGTAAAATACATGACATAATTTATAACATTAAACATGCAATTAAATTTTGTCTGGTACATGATAATCATCCTAATCTTACTTGTAATATAAAATGTCCTTTTCGTGTTTTTGATTTTATTATAAGAACTGATTATTTATTTTAAAATGTTAATGTCATCAGAACACAGGCCATCTCAATTATATAATATTTTTTAAATGAGATTAAAGAAATAAAATGTGGGGAATAAGACAACATTGATACAAAGTAGGTATAATCTTGGAAGACTGTTATTTAATAACTTCGAATGAAAGTATAAGATTGAATTTAATTGTATTGAAATTAGGAGAAACTGTGGATTTCTTTGGGGTTCATAGCATTCGATGATTGCTATATCTTCCATTTCAATCCAACATTATTCTATGCAGGATAATTAAATTTAGCTCTTGTTAAATTATGTCACCTCATTTTCTGATTCATTTTATACTGCTGTATAATGTAAGGTATGTTTTCACTAAGCTTTATTATGTGAAACTGTTTTCCACTTAGCAGGTCCTACAGCTGAGGTTTCTACCATTTAATTTAACTTTTGGAGTTACATAAGAATCAATCATTGTTCCTGGTAGATGCTAGATTTGAAATTGATCTATAAGTACAGATGACACTTCGACAGGTAAGATATGCAACAAATAATATAAATTTCAGGCAAAAGGAACAGTTTAAACAAAGGCAGTTTGAGTAATGGAGGAATAGAAAGGATATTATCTCTATAAAAGGAATATATAATAATTTAACAATTCCTCAAGGATATAGAACCAGAAATACCATTTGAAAGAGCAATCTCATTACTGGATATATACCCAAAGAACTGTAAATCATTCTACTATAAAGACACATGCACACATATGTTTACTGCAGCACTATTTACAATAGCAAAGACTTGGAACCCACCCAAATGCTCATCAATGATAGACTGGATAAAGAAAATGTGTCACATATACACCATGGAATACTATGCAGCCATAAAAAAGGATGAGTTCATGTCCTTTGCAGGTACATGGATGAAGCTGGAAACTATCATCCTCAGCAAACTAACACAGGAACAGAAAACCAAACACCACATGTTCTCACTCATAAGTGTAAGCTGAATAATGAGAACACATGGACACACGGAAGGGAACATCACACACCAGGGCCTGTTGGGGTGGGAGGAAAGAGGAGGGAGAGCTTTAGGACAAATACCTAATGCATGTGGGGCTTAAAACCTTGATGACGGTTGATAGGTGCAGCAAACTACCATGGCACATGTATACCTAGGAAACCTGCACGTTCAGCACATGTATTTTAGACTGAAAGTAAAATTTTTTTAAAAAAGAATTTAACTGAGAGTCAATTTATGGAGAATTTTGGATTTTGGACTGAATCAAACTAGTAAAAAAAAAAAGAAAAAAGAAAAATCTGAATCAGTAAAACAGCCTAGTCATGAATTTATTTGCCAAACATTAGCAGATGATTCTGAGCTTGATAAGGACAGTTCAAAAGTGGAGAGTCAGTCTTTCAGGAGAAACCTGAGCACTTGAGAAAGATGTAGAGATTATCTGAGACAAAGTACCATGAGAATGATGTTCTGAAAGGGGAGGTGAAGGGAATTAATACATTTTCTATAGATCTTTGAACGCCATGGTAAAATGATAAGGTTATCTTATGAAAATATGCACCGATGAAGTTTAGTCTATAAGAATTTTCTTATGTCAAATGATCATACCCAGAAGCCAAGGTTCATCATTTTAGAATCACATATAGAGAATTTTCATTAACAGCTAGAGAAGATAGGCTTAAATCAAAACATTTTGGAACATCTTATTATATTTTGCAATTTATAAAAATATGACCACTAGGCAGGTGTGCTGATGACACGCGCCTGTAGTCCCAGCTACTTGGGAGGCTGAGTCAGGAGAACCGCTTGAACCTGAGAGGCAGAGATTGCAGTGAGCCAAGACTGTGCCATTGCGCTCCAGCATGGGTGACAGGGCGAGACTCCACCTCAAAAAAAATAGATAGATAGATAGATAGATAGATAGACAGACAGACAGACAGACAGATAGGTTTGGACCAAGGTTATATGTGTGTGTATATATATATATACATATAAAACCTTGGTCCAAATGTAAAGCAGATGTTCTTTAGTCGAATATGGTTTGGCTGTGTCCCCACCCAAATCTCATCTTGAATTGTACCCCCATAATTCCCTATTTCCCACGTGTTGTGGGAAATAATTTGAATCATGGGGGCAGTTTCCCCCCATACTGTTCTTGTGGTAGTGAACAAGTCTCATGAGATTTGATGGTTTTATTAGGGGTTTCCACTTTTGCATCTTCATCATTTTTCTTGCTGCTGCCATGTAAGAAGTGCCTTTCACCTCCCGCCATGATTTTGAGGCCTCCCCAGCCATGTGGAACTGTAAGTACAGTTAAAACTCTTTTTCTTCGCAGTCTTGGGTATGTCTTTATCAGCAGCATAAAAACAAACAAATACATAAGGATATAACAAATAACCCATGACCCCATAAGCAGTATTAATAAATTTATTTCCTATGTTTTCTTTAACATTGGTCTTCTGGAAGAAGATACAGATTTGTTTCTGATAATATGCATTGTCATATGTAAGGATCAATATTTTATTTACAAACCTAATGGTAGTGTTTGACTTGTCTATTTTTATTTCAAGTGTCCCATATATTAAAATATTATCAATTTATAACATCTGATTATAGTTAGCAAAAGAAAGATATATTTTCAAATTTATTTACTTGAAATATGTTAGATATTTGTATTATTCCTAGTTAAAAGAAATTAGACTAACTAAAAATCTAGGGCATTTATAGTGAATGTATTATGTTGATCTTATCATCTGCAGCTCTTATCATCTGTGGCTCATATTATAATGAAATCATCTACTGTTTATTTAAAATCAAATATATACATGTTTATAAAACCCAGACGTGTTTAAATGATACAAAAAGCTATTTGTTGTTCACTTTGTTCATACATATTAGGTTAAGACAGAAATAGGAATTCACTGTTTACCGTCTATTTGGATACTGTATTTTAATATTTATGGAAGTTATGGGAATGTACATTAATATAAAATACATACCTAAATAAACTCAAATCCACCTATATAAAATGCTTTCTAAGTAAGTTGCCATGCATGTATGGTAATAAAATTAAAATATGAATCAATATATAAATAAAATATATTCTCCTCAATCTCTAAATAAACTAAAATTTGTGCACCATCAAATGTCATACCAAGCTATCAGTCTGGTTTCAACCAGAGAAGCAGAACCTCTAGGAGGCATAGAGAGATTGACAGATGGATTTGTGAGAAAGATAGAGTTGTTATTACAGAATTGTGACAGCTGGTGAAGCAGTCCTGTAAAGCTATTATCTCTGTGTCTAATGCTGGAGTTTGAAGTCCACAGACCAGGCAGTCAGAAAAGAAGATCACAAGAAAGCTGGAAATCATTATGAGCTTGAACCCCATAAGGACACACTGAAATCCATGTTCGTTCTTGTTGACTCTGACCTGAATAATGAGGGTGCCCTGCAGAAGCCAAGGCCTTTCATCACAGAGCCAAATAAACACACCACCTGACAAAAGTTCTTTATATATTCCAATAATTTAGGATATTTTTAAAAATTTGTTTAGAACACAATGATCTTTAATAAAATTATAGCTTTATCTGAATCAACATTCAAAATGATGAACCAAATCAAACCCTTCCAACAAATTATCTATTAATGTGGCACTCATTCATCCTGGTATGAGGCCTTTTAGTAGAGCCAAGGGGCAGGTGAGTCTACTGTCCTAGAGTTTCTACCAGAGACACATTCCAGAAGTCAGTGCCTAATACGTGATCTGAACTCAGACAACTTGTGCTGCTGAGTTGATCAAAGTAGTCAAATTTCTCATCACTTGCTCCAACACATCCCTTACTTGGTTGCTCTGGGCAGTGTTTGGTAGTTCCATATACTCACATAGCTGCTTGGATTTCTCAAGGCCATTTGCAGAAGCACTTAAACAACTTCTAGATCGCATTTGCTGCCTCCAGGGATACTGATGGACCACATGTATTAACAATTTTGAGCCCCAATAAATAATTTCTTATAAAACTAATATTTTTATGATGTTTAAATTGTATCACAACTCTTACTCAACTAACCATTATCATGAAAATTAATTCCAGCCTCCAAATATTTTCTAAGATTTTTGATATTCAATATTCCTCTATTAAATTAATCATGCTAGAAGAAAAGGCCCATGAGTGATTGGTATTTGTGGCATTCTACTAAAATTTGTTACACCAATATATGTTTATTACAACATGTAATTGATTCTCATTATTTGCAGTAGTTATGTTTTATAATGTCATTCACGAACACTGAATTAGTGACTACTGAGCCATTGCTCCTAGAGGAAACAGAGGACTAGGTTCCTGCCAGCCTCTGGTCACAGTACTTTCATCAACTGATCAATCCTTAAAATCCATATCCTTGTTTTACGTGTGTTTCTTTTTAAAAACATCTTGTTTATGTATATTTTTGATTCATTAACATTGAACTCATGGCCAACAGCACTACAATTTATGCCTCAATGAAGCTTTTCTAGTACGTATGTTTCTCTCCCTGAGGCACATCCTTGTATTTTTGTTTGTTTGTTTGTTCATTTGTTTTTTTTTGCTTAGGAATATTTGAAAGAACTTTAGCACTATGCTTGTGTTACATTTTAATCAGTGAAATCACTAATAAGCAGGAAAAATGTGAAAAAGGTAGCACTAACTATACTGTGAAATTGATATGTGTTTATAATATAAGAACTGAAACAAGAAGGCAGTGTTGCTTCCTTCTTTGACCTCAGCTGAGTACTTGCACATCAGGTGACTCAAACTTTTTATTGTTCTGTACTTTCAGAAATTTGCAAAGGGTGAGAATATTCATTTGGGTGTAACAAATATATTTCAGTGATTAGGCAAATTCACAAATAGAGAATCTGTGAATAGTAAGAACTGACTATGTTATTTAATGTTTACACTTATCATAGTTATTCTTATGCTATTTGTATATACCAGTATGCACAAGACTGTCAATATCAGTCATGAAACATCAACCTGCAAGAACTGCTGTGAAAATTAGCCATGAACTTTTCCAAACGACATATAATTATATTCATGAAAAAAGTGGTGACAATACTGTGAATTTTATGATCCCCAAAAAGAGAAACTAATAGCAATTTACCTGATTATGAGTACGGAGACAAAAATACCTGATTATGAGTGTCTGTGTATATAGATACACACACATACATATACTAGATATACATATTCTTGAATGTATATAAACATATTCAAAAAAGAATGAAGCATTTTATATGTTAGAAAATGATATTATTGCTTATTTTATGGTTCCCAAATGTTCTTTACATTTTTGTTTAGTGCAACACATAAAAAGAATCCTAAAATCAAAGGCTCACGTTAAAACTGACTCTCTTTTCAGCTATGAGATAATTACAAACAACTCACTTTTCCTGAATTTTAATTTCTTTATGTATAATAGTGGTGTAAGACAAATAACATCTAAAACACTTCTAGGTATGTATCAGTGCTTAGTGTGATTATAGTAAACAATAATTTGTTGTGTATTTCAAAATAACTAAAGAGTGGAATTGGAATGTTTCCAGCACAAAGAAATAATAAATTCTTGAGGTGATGGACACCGCAATTACACTGATTTGATAATTATACATCATACGCTTGTATCAAAAATATCACATGTACCCTATAAAATTGTTTATTATATACCATAATAATTGCAAATAACAATTTAAAAGAATCCTCAAATTTGTCTATCTACAGGTACTTTTGCATTTATCGATGTTAACATAAGGATTCTGAATTTATAGTATTGTTTTAATAATTTTCATATTATCATAAATCTACATATATTTCTTAGCTACAAAGCTACTTTACCCATCTAGAAGA
Source organism: Homo sapiens (assembly GCF_000001405.40). Classification (NCBI taxonomy): domain Eukaryota; kingdom Metazoa; phylum Chordata; class Mammalia; order Primates; family Hominidae; genus Homo; species Homo sapiens. Next base: position 85,809,887 of record NC_000013.11, on the reverse strand, counting down.
GGTACAAAAAAATCAAATTTTTAAAAAAGACTTCAGTATAAGACTAACTAGAAATCACAATTTTCATAACCTAATGATTATGCATATATTGTTGAGAACATATTTTCTCAATCTGTACATACATCTAACAAACTTGTACATTTGTTTTAAAGAGTTATTATATAAGTGGGTTTTTTGAAAGCAATAAGAATAGAAATTGACAGCGTGGGAGAGGAGACACTATAGTTTAAGTTTATTTAGCGAAAGAATAACAACATGATCACCAGTGAGGAATTCAGGTGGTCTAACTACCGTATTAGGGTAGCGTAAAATAACTAGTATTCATCATAATACCAAGAAAAATACAAAATTTAATATATTAAGAGTTTAACAAAGGACAGCAAAATTAAATCCTTGGGAGGATAAGAAGTATTAAGTTGTTAACGTGTGTTGTGAGAAGGGAGAGCAGGGTGATCAAGAAGAAGTGATATCATCACAGCCCTTTGTCATGTTTGGTGAACACAGGCTCTCCTATTTCAATCCTGCCCTTGTTTGTTCTTTAGATATCGCAGGGGTCTGGTGCACACCCCCCCACATTACTAATGCACGCCCATCCCTTCAGTTACTGAAACATACCTGTATCTATTGTGGAGTAGAAAGGAGATGGCACAGATGGAAGGAGTTATTTTTATTATAAAGGAAAGATTACATATCTACTTGGAAAATCTTATAAAATATCTAGGCCTACCCTAGATAAGGAAGAGTAAGGAGCTCCTGAGATGCAGAGCATGGAACATGAATCTGATTCTTAAGGCTTTTGGTCTATGTATTGCACTAGAGGCTCTTTCCTCAGGCATATCTGAAGTAAACAGAGTGGGAGCTTACATAAAGTGACTTCCTCTTATTGTCAGTCCTTACAGCAGCTTGATTCTCATCTACAGAGAGAGAAGGACAAGAAGTATAGATGACTAACATAACGTAGTCTGATGAGGAAACTGACATTTATATGCATACCTTATCAGTCAATAAATTATCATTATCTTTCATTATATTTAAATATACATGTGTTCCTTGATTTAAGATGGAGTTACATCCTGATAAACCTACATAAGCTGAAAATATCAAGTCAGAAATGCATTTAATAAGTTTAATCTACTGAACATGCAGCATAGCCTACTTTATGCATACTCAGAACACTTAAATTAGCCTACAGTTGGGCAAAATCATCTGGCAACATAGTCCGCTATACAGCAGCGGTCCTCAACATTTGTGGCATCAGGGACAAATTGTGGAAGACAATTTTTCCATGGACTAGTGTGGGAGTGGTGACGTTTTCTGGATGATTCAAGCAAGTTACATTTATTGTGCACTTTATCTCTGTTATTACCTTGTAATATATAATTAAATAATTGTACAACTCACCATAATGTATAATCAGTGAGAGTCCTGAGATTGTTTTCCTGCAACTAGATGGTCTCATTTGATGGTGATGGGAGACAGTGACAGGTCGTCAGGCATTAGATTCTCATAAGGAGTGTGCAACCTAGATTCCTCACATGCACAGTTCATGATAGGGCTCGCGCTCCTATGAACATCTAATGCTGCAGCTGATCTGACAGGAGACAGAGCTCAGGTGGTAAAGCAAGTGGTGGGGAGCAGATGTAAATACAGATGAAGCTTCCCTGGCTCACCCACCACTCACCTCCTGCGGTGCAGCCCAGTTTCTTTTTTATTTTATTTTATGTATGTATGTATGTATTTATTTTTGAGACGGAGTCTCACACTGTCGTCCAGGTGGAGTGCACTGGTGCAACCTCAGCTCACTGCAACCTCCACCTCCCAGGTTCAAGTGATTCTCCTGCCTCAGCCTCCCGAGTAGCTGGAATTACAGGTGCCTGCCACCACGCCTGGCTAATTTTTTTGTATTTTTAATAGAGGCAGGATTTCACTATGTTGGCCAGGCTGGTCTCTACCTCCTGACCTCGTGATCTGCTCGCCTCAGCCTCCCAAAGTGCTGGGATTACAGGCGTAAGCCACCGCACCCGGCTGTGCAGCCCAGTTTCTAATAGGCTACAGATCGAGTCTGTGGCCAGGGGTTTGGGTCCCCTGCTATAGTGTATCAGTTGTTTACCCTCAAGATCACGGTGGTTGGCTGGGAGGTGTTGTTCACTGGCTCTGCTCAGCATAGAAAGAGGGTATCCTACTGCTTTCCACTGAATGTGTATGGCTTTCACATTACCATAAAGTTGAAAAATAATAAGAGTCATCCTAAGCTGGAGACCATCTATATATGAATCCTAAATATGTGTGTAAAAATATAAATGATTCATCTTTGTGTTTTCAACTGATGCAATGGTTTGCCCACAATTGACATTAATGCTTACATATTGAATGGGATATGTTTTCAAAAAGTATTTTTATTGAAAAAGATGATCACAAGTGTTTAAAAAAATTGTTCCTATTATATATAGAACCAAAACCTGATATTTCTATAAATTGTATCCACTTATTAAAACCATTGTTCTGAGTATCGGTCATCTGCAGAATAAACAAATTTAGAAGCCAGAGGGAAGTGAATCAGTGAATATAGATTCTGCCTCTTAATTTTGTGCCAATAGATTTATTCCCTTACCTCTATATGCTCCAATTGTCCCATTGTAATAGTAGTTGTCCCATAGGTATCTTTTAAGGATAAAACTGTTATTACGTGTAGATTAGCTATAGTAGTTACATTCATGTGGAGTGCTCACAGGTATACATACATATGCCTTATTTTTATTAATGTTATTAATTAAATACCTAAGGTTAAAAAAACATGTAGGATAGTTTGATTCTGCTTAATAACTGCAGCATGTTATCTCCCTCTCTTATTTTTTTAGATAAACTTTTAATTCTTTGTAAGGACATGCTAAGAAATGGTCAATGATTCCTAAAAATGCAGTCTGTAATACCTTGCTTATAATCATGTTAATATTTGGTTGTTCATTGTTTCTTAAAAATCTACTTTTAAAACACCAGAATAATAATTATGATCCGGCAGTAGAACAACTACACATATAATCTATATATTTAGAGTAAAACTTGAACAGTAGCAGCATACTATCCAACTCTTTCAGTAGGTAAGAATTTCTTTAAAAATCCACCAGGGGGTGCTAGAAGAGTAAAAATGCCTTGAACCAAGGACGGTGTTAGGAATGATTCTCTTAACTCTTATTAATATTATACAAATTTTCAAGGTTGGTTTTAGGTTGAAAACCCTGTTTTCATTCCTTCCTTCTTCCCCCAAATCTAGGATTCTTAAAAAGTAATTTCTACTAACATCAAAGATTAGTCATATTTTGTGGAAGACGTGTCTCTAGATAAAGGAAAGAAGAGCAGGTAAGTGCTATTTTGAATCAATTCATTTCTTAAGAAAGACATGCTAGGTTTTAAATATAATTTTGCCATCAAATAATTGTTTGAAACTGTGGAACTCCTTAAATTCAGTACGTGGGAGCTACAGAAAAAATGAGGGACTGCTAGTTAGAAATACCTCTCTGATTTTTATTAGTCCCCCCCAAAAAATGACACAAAAAGAGTATTTTTTTCTGTAGTCAGGTGACGTCAAACTTAAAAGTATTTTTGAATAAAGAAATTTGAGATCCTACTTAGTGCAAATGAATATTTTATGAGGATAGAATTTGGATTTATATTGCCCAGGGAAATCTGATAGAAGATATCCACATTTTATCTGATATTTCCTCCTACAGACTATTACTAGGTCACTTCTCCTCTCTTCCTTATGAAGAATCAAGGAGAATCTGTCCATTTAAACAGGCATAACTTCATGTAGCTATTTGATTAATAGATTTTATTGGTTTTTATTATAATTTTATTAGTATTTGTATATTATTATTATATCATAATAGCTATATCCCATTTCAGTATATGGAAACATGAAAATTATAGCTAATGCTATTCTTATTTTCTTAAACATAAAATATACATGGTATTATTTTATAGGATACTCAAACTTTTGAAAAATGTTCTAAAGAAAAATTGTTCTAGAAGGGATAGTGGAGATTAATAGAGGTAAGATGTATACAGTAAAATAGTCAAAAAGATAATTATATTTACAAAAATATCCCCCTGTTTATCCTTGTAGCCTAAATTTTTCACCTTATAGCCTAAATTTTTCACATAGGTATATATATAGGAAGTGAAATGTATTTCTGTGTGTTGACTATAGACTGATTCCAAACGAATAACTTTCTCTTGGTATCTAAGTGAATTCTTTATAGCACAAATATTTAGTTTCTAAGTTATGTAACACTAAAAATGTTATTTACCAAGATGTATTATATCTTATATTATTTTGGAATTTTTCAGTAAAATTTCTGCTAATAAAAAAGCCAATATCATTCAGTAAAACCTGTCAGTAATGATTTATTCACTATGTAGGTTAATATAATACCCACTGATGGCAGTAATAGTTCAGTAAATGTCTTTTTATGTTAATTTCATTGTTATGAAGTCAAAATGTACAAACTTAAAAATGTACCAATTTATCTGTTGAACTATGCACTTCTATTTCTCAACAAATGTGTACCTTACCAATTACTTTCTTTATAGCCTATAGATGCAGTTGTAACAAAGTATTTTATTTCTGTCCAGACAAATGTAAAGTTTGGCATTTAAGTTTGCATGACAACTAATCAACCTTACGTTGTCATTGGCATTATTTAAATTCTTTATCATTTTAGATATGTCTCTTTTGATGTCTAAAAATAACATTCATATTAAATATGTAGAATAAGCAATTAGTTTTTGAACAGCATCTTCTTGAGTATTATTTGTGCATATAAAATTAAAAAGCTATTACTTTTACTCAACTATGTGGAGATGATCTCCAGAGAGATGATCTCAAATAATAGTTAAAAAAAAATGTATAGCTGTGCTTGATACGGATAATCTTGGTTTTGACAGCTTTATTGTAAGTTGAAATAAATGCAATTGACTTTTTGTAAAATGGTTGTATATTATAATTTTTTAAGATTATAGCTATTAAAATAAGTTTGCATCCCTCAATGACACAGCAATCGGTGATAAGCAGAGGCAGTGATGTATGATTCTTGATTGACAATAGAAGACATCCGGGAATTTTAATATGTCCTGCAGGGTGTTCACCAAGCATCTGATCTATCACAAATATTTAATTATGTGGCATTTGCCTACTCTTATTATTAAGCATCTGAATATAAAATAATTTAGTTGCATAGATTGTGTTAGTACAATTACCAAACAACATTTGGAAATATACAGGGGATCAATTTATTTATTTTTAATTTTTAATCTTGATCCATAGCATTTAGTTATATGGGTGCCAAAAATCTGTCTTTATACATTCCTGAAGAACAAGGAAGTAACTATCCTAAGATTACACAACCGTGAGAACATCCAAAAAAACAACTTATTTGACTGTTTTCCATGTGCAACACATACTATAGTGCTATGGAGAAAAAATATGAAGTAGACATAAGCCCTTCCTTAGAGTGTCTCCCTACAGTCAAAATAACTCACAATCTAGAATTATTCCAATGCATCTTGTTCTCTTGCACATTGTTCATTATGCATCGTGTAAACATTTATTCACAATTTTTTTGGTTCATTTTTCAGGTATTTTTTAAGTTTGCTTGGTCCTCCATTTGAAGTAGGAATTTTTATGAAATTTTTCAATAGGATTTATATGAAGACAGACTGGTCATAGCTTAAGCTTTCAGAGGAAAGTTATTGTTTCGTTTTCTTTTAGATTTTGCCAGGTTAAACAAGGGTATTAGAGAATTCCTTTGTGTTCACTGAATTAAAACCACCAAGAGGAAGTTTTTATTACAAAACTTCTCTTAGAATAAAGCACTCCCTGTATCAGTTTTATACCTTTGCTATTAGATCAAATTAAGTATGGAGGAAACATAAGACTTACATAACAAATTAAACTTTTAGTTAAAGGTACAATGCAAAAGGCAAGTTTCCTAAACATACATCCAGTTCAATGTTATCTTCATGGTGAGGCCTTCCTCCAATTCCCCAAAGTGACTTACTTAATCGCTTCTTCCTCTGTATTTCCATAGTGTTTTTTCTAGTCTTTTTATCCATTATATATCCATAAAATATTATATCTATCTTATACGTGTCCTCTAAGACACATGACCTTTCATTGAGATAAGTCATACATGATGAACATTGTGCCAATGACCTACTTATCTACAGATGTGTGTATATTGCAAAAGTTAGGAACATTTTCTATTCTTCATCATCTAAAAGTTAGTCTCTTAGTTTAATTGTATGTTGTTATCAGAAGTCAAGATATCCATAATAATTAAACTCTTATTCTTAGGCAACAGAAAAAGTAATGTTTAGAAAGTGTTTTTGTCCTCTTCCAGTGAAACATGAAAGAACACCCTGGGTTCACAATCTGAAAATTGTGTAGCATACAATTTCAAAAGATGAAAGGCAACATTCTTCTATTATTATATTCTATGAATTGGATTTATGTAAATAAGTCAATTGTGTATTTAAGTAGACTTTACTCATTGTTCTTTTTAAATATTATTTTCTCATTTTATAAAAGTTATTACTTGTGTACACAATAAAGAGAATGAAAATATAAAATAAACATTTGAGTTAAATTTAAGCTATGGAATTGCTAGTGAATTTTATTTTTTCTTATTTATTTTGCATTTTTAAAGTTTCTTAGTGAAACAAAGACACTTTTCAAAAGGTATATTCAAACTTAAAGAAAACTTTTGGTGCAAAATAAAATAATTTTTTAAATATTTATAAAATTAGTGTATCAGGGTCTCTAGAGACTGTGTATTTATGCATTATTTGTAAGTATTTGTTATATTTTATTTTAGTAGCATTATCATGAGTTTCAGTGTAATTTCCTGACAGTACAAAGAAAGCAGAGCCCACAATACTATGTTTCCCAATAATGTGTTTAATATTCCTTTTAAAACAATCAAATAAGTATGTAAAAAGTGAAACTGAGTAAGATTATTTAATTTTTTTTCAAAGAGTGAAATGACTAGCTAATATTTAAAATTCCCTAGAGTATTATCATCCCCCCCAAATCACCAAGTTTCATACTTTCTAACTTCAGAGTATTTAAATATGCCTTTGTCTACACCACAGATGGTACAGAGTTCTCTCCCTGCAAGGCTTTCAGATTTTTGAATTAAACTCAATCTCACACATCTTCACTTTACCTCTTAAATGTGACACTAAAAAAGGTGGAAAGCCACTCTAAGGTGGAACTGGTCCTATTTAGAATGAATAAATCTCATTGTTTTACTTTTTTCTTTTCTTTTTCCAGTGCTCATTCTTGGTCTTTTCATTCTATTTGTACCGTACACACTATCAGTTCAACAAATTTCATAAAACATTCTACCACATAGTCTTTGAGGTCATCGGCTATTAAGATGATCTCCCCACATCCATGAAAGCAGGGAGGGAAGGACTTCACTTCCTATGTCCTCATGCACAATAAAATATGCTGATGGTAGGCTGCCGCTCTAAAATTAATAACAGAGATGGGTTTATTTCTTCTGACTGCTTGGTATAATTCAATGCAATTGTAATACTTTTATGTTGGCCCTTTAGAAATATACACTCTGAAAGCAGAGATATTGTTAAATGTCACAATAACACATAATTTACAGGTTGTGATTAAAAATAATTAATAAAAAAAATTTAGCCAGGCATGGTGGTGGGCACCTGTTATCCCAGCTACTTGGGAGGCTGAGGCAGGAGAATTGCTTGAAGCCAGGAGACTGAGGTTGCAGTGAGCCAACACTCCAGCCTGGGCAACAGAGTGAGACTCCATCTCAAAAAATATTATTATTATTAATAATTAGCCTGTAATCCTAGCACTTTGGGAGGCCAAGATGGGAGGGTCACTTGAGGCCAGGAGTTTGAGAACAGCCTGGGAAACCTGGTAAGACCCCCATCTCTATAAAAAAAATAAAAGAATCAACTGGGCATGGTAGTGCATGCCCCAAGTCCCAGGTACTTATTATGAGGCTGAGATGGGAGGATCTCTTGAGCCTAGGAGTTGGAGGTTACTGTGAGCTGCGATTGCACCACTGTACTCCAGCCTGGATAACAGAGTGAGACCCTGTCTCTATATATAATAACAATAATAATAATACATAATAATAATTTGAAGTTACGGGGGAGCAGGCATAGATTAGGTGGGAAGATAAATAAAATTCATTGTTTATTATAATCATGTGATGAATTTATTATTAAAACTACACTAAGAAAGTACTTTCCCATTGATTACTTGGAAATTAAAAATATTGTTAAAATAAATGTTGTTCAATAATCATTAGCACATATCCTGCCATAATAAACATTTTGGAAAAAATGGCTACAGTACTGATTTGATATAATGACTGAAGAATTACAGTGAAAAAAACCTAGAGAACAGCAGACTTGTCTACGATCTTTTCAGATGTGCTAGTGTATATTTTAACTAAGTTTGAGATAATGCTGAGTAATTCATTATCAACATTACCACTTTAAATTAAAAGTTATAGATTGCTCCTCAAATAATTTTTTTTTAGTTTTTTATTCCCAATGAAAGCTTATAGAACAACTGAATAATTTTTTTTTAAAAAAGTGTGTTTAGTCAATATTTCTCTCCCTTACCATCATGGGGAATTGACCAGTAATTACTGCAATTGCCCAGTAATTTATGCACTAAAAAGACAAGATTCATTATGTAGGAAAGGAATTCATGATAAAAATCTTCAAATTTCTGCTATGTGTATATGACTGATAAAATAGATACATGATCAAATTGAAGGACATGAGAGAAACATGTGTCAATCTACAAAGAAATTACTTTCATTTGTCCATATGTAGGCTTGAAAAATTTTGCTCCACATACTATGCTACTAGAATATTTCTCCTATGCACTTGACTGCAAAACCTAAAGGAATGCATGTGAAAAATTAGGACTACAGGGTTGGGAGGGAAATTATTCTTGCCCCTTCTTTTTTTATTGATTAAAATTCTAATTTCTAACTATCTATCTAAATAATTACCTTGATTTAATTAATTTGGCTAGCAGCTAGCAGGAAATTGTGCCAAACACTAATTATTTATATTTAACTTCACTTATACTCTTCATTCTCTCATTTTTTTATTTTTATTGTATTTTCGAACCCCCTCCTCTGTATCATCATCTCTTTTCCATGTTAAAGCACAAAATGTCATTAAAATAAACGAGAAACTTAATTACTGGGAAATATAAAGTAAAGTGAGAATACTGAAAATTCCCACAGAGCCCTTATGTGTTTAGAGCCAATATACCACCCTGAGACGATAAAACTATATCAATCTGAGTGTATGTCATTAAATAATAATGTGATATTCTTCTATTTTGATGATTTAAACTATATCAACTCTCCTTTTTAAAAACAGCACTTTCTGAAATGACACCTACTATTACATAGAAGGCCTCTAGAATCTGTATTTATTCTAAACAGAATAAACAAATAAAAGACAGCATCTAGTATATGCACTTTGGATGTGAAAAAGTTCAGGAAGGTAGGTAAGAAGAATAACTTTTTAAACCACAGGCTTTTTGAGAAATAAGGAATCTGACAAGAGTAATAATGGTGATGATTCAGAAACTTTTAAGAGCTGAAGAAACACGCAACTTTTAAGATATAACCTATTAAGAATAAATTCTCTCTGAGCTAGCACTATACAAATCAGGTTATTGTAATATCTACATATTTCACTTGTTTCATTTTATCTGTAAAGATATAATGTTATATTTTTGAAAGTGATAAACAGAACTTTATCAATGATAATTATTTTGTGTTTAAAGATTTTTAAATATATTTTAAAATAATTATGCTTTTCTTCTAAATAAATATATTAAAATAACTGAAAGATCTTCATTTCTAAGTTTAATTATTGAATATTAGCTCTAGGGAAAGAAATAATGAAGTAAAAACTTAGAGTCCCTAACATAAGGCTTTAAAAAAGTTAAATGGTGAATACAAAAATACAAATATTGCAGGGAAGCAGTTCGTGTTAACATTTTACAATCTAGTTAGTGCACAATTTCAACTATAAATACCAGATTTAAAAAAAAAAAGAAAAAAAAGAGGCAACTACTCTATAGGCAGCATTCTTGTGTTTCCTGCACACATGTGTGCAAACACTACAGAACAGTGTTAGTTGAGAATTTAACATAACGTATTATTTAGCTTGCTATAACACAATGTACTATTAAGCATTTAAAATGACGTGTTATTATTTCCATCAAAATTCACTTGCACTATATTTGGTATTGAAAGGAGTGGAAAGACCATTTGCAGAAAGAGGAGGAGTTGAGCAGTCCCAAGGTGGAGCTGTCTCTTGTGTTATATGACACTGGCAGATTAAAACGCTCTGATGGGGAAGGGCTTAAAGGCTGAGTCAAAAGCCAAGAAGTCTCTTTATTTACGCCTACCTCCCAGCCCTTGGCAATCTGACTAATAACAAACTGAGCTAACAAGAAATACTAGAAAAGGAGGAAGGAGAACATTGCTGTAGCTTGGATCTACAACCTAAGAAAGCAAGAGTGATCAATCTCAGCTCTGTTAAACATCTTGTTTACTTACTGCATTCAGCAGCTTGCAAATGGTTAACTATATGCAAAAAAGTCAGCATAGCTGTGAAGTATGCCGTGAATTTTAATTGAGGGAAAAAGGGACAATTGCTTCAGGATGCTCTAGTATGCACTCTGCTTGAAATATTTTCAATGAAATGCTCAGTATTCTATCTTTGACCAGAGGTTTTAACTTTATGAAGCTATGGGACTTGACAAAAAGTGATATTTGAGAAGAAAGTACGCAGTGGTTGGTGTTTTCTTTTTTTTAATAAAGGAATTGAATTACTTTGAACACCTCTTCCAGCTGTGCATTACAGATAACGTCAGGAAGAGTCTCTGCTTTACAGGTAAGATGAATGTTTCCAGGCTTTTCTTATACTTATTTTTGCATTATAGTAAAGTGATTGAATTTGTATGTTCGCTTCCTTTAAATAAACAACTTTGCATTAAAGGATACTCAATTTCATTCTTGCTTACTGGCACAACTAACACTGGAGCAGATGCCTGTATTCTCTGAGAAGCAGACATTTAGTCTAACAGCTGGCTACAGAGAAGAACAAATATAATATTCCACTATTTCTTTTGCAACATGCAGTTTGTTGTTAGAAACTAAATATGTGTGCTTTCTGAAGGAAGGATCACTTCCAAATGCGAATGTTGAATTGCAAATATAAGCAGAATATTGAATAATTCTTTGCATTTTGTATGCTACTTATTTTCTGATTTGAAAATACGTATTCTCAGAAAACATGTCAATGAGTATCTTTTGACCTCTTTACCACTGTATCAGATATTGTCAGTAGAGAACCACTTTTCACATCTGTGTGTGTTTCTGAAAAGATTAGAAACTGTTTCCTAGCACGTTTTGAAGAGCATAAAATTCATACAGGATTTACAAAATAACAAGAGTTTATCACTGAAAAATTATTTACTATTTTCTCTGATGCTATACCTGGTGAAATAAATCTTATTCTTTCTTGGTAATTTATGAATAAGTACTTTTAGTGATTGTGGAAGCTAATCCACAAGTTGAAGACTCCAACTACAAGCTGCTTGTTTATAAACTCAGCACACAAAGCTGTTTAAAATCAAATTATTTACCTACAGAAAAATAAAATCTTCTAACTTTCCCTTTACACAGAGGCAGTATGTTGTTTTGTTTCTTCAGTTGCCTTTTGCCTTTCAGGAACTTTGTACTATATGTGTTTTCAATAAAACACTATGTTTTCAGGGAATGCAAGTTTACTTTCAGGATTGTTGATTGGGTTCTGGTATGTTTTACCTGATTGTGAATTTTAATTTGATTCAGTTACTGTTCATATTTCAAACAACAAAAATGAAAACTGATTACTATTTTGAAAAGTTGAATAGTCATAAGATGTGTTTATATTTCAATTTAGTTTATATAAGTTTAAAGTATAATATTTAAAGGAAGGAAATAAAATTAGATCTCATTAGAGCTATAAATGTTTACCTTGCATAACTGTCATTTAAAGGGCAAAACCTTTTTAAGAATTGCTGTTTCAGATGCATTTGTTATGTGTTTCAGGATTAGAATACGTGATGTTATTCTGAACCATCCTTTTTTTCTTTTACTGAATTTGAAATATCATCAAAAAGTTTAATATGGTACAGTTTGTTTCAGATTTCATTGTTTGCGACTTTAAGCCTTTTAATAAAGGCTTAAAGCTGCTTAATTATGTGATGACATTCCGTGCCCTAAAGACTGTTTCAAGACCTCATTAGGAAGTCATTTGCTAGAAGTTTATATGAAGCATTGTTTATTCTTTTACAACAGCCTGAAATGTGTGTTAAAGATTAATCTTGCTTCTTTAGTTTTTATCATTTCCACCTCATCTATAACGTAATTAAGAAGCAGTAAGCAATATACTGCTTCTAGAAATTCAATATTAAATATAATGATTTAAGTGAAATTTGAATGGTCACACTTAAGTGTATGTATCTGATACTATTACGCTTATACAAACTACCCTTGATTGAATAGTTAAAAGAGTTCTTATAGTACTGTACTTTATAACATGATCAAAGACGCATTTTCCTCAAGGTTTTCAAAATAAACAATAAAATTAGTATATATATATATATATAGCCAAAACCGAAGCAGGTTAAAACACAGACACAGTTATTAGATGTTATTGTGTGACACCCAGTTCAACAATATAAAGACAATGCATGCTACATGCGTACATGCATACACACATACACATATGCACACATACATTCTTTTATCATTTTTTACATTCCCTACAGTTCTCTATGCTTACGGCTAATAACTATGTAATTGTCTTTTACTATAATCCTCCAGCCTTAAATGTATGACCATAAGGTTAAAAAATATTTTCAAATATATAACTTTGCATCACAGTGAAGTATCAGTGCTCTAAGGCAGCATCTCTCTCATCTGTTAAAATGCAGGTTATTCATCAGATGTGAGCACAAATTTTATGATATAATATTTTAAATCCCCCTTGACCTAAATTTTATATTTTGAACACAATGCAAGTTAAAAGTCAGCCAGACTTGCCTGTCTGAGTATTAGGAAAAAAAAAAAAGAAACAAATGATGTAAATGCAGCAAGGTACCCATATTTTCATGGTAATCCGTCATTTGCTTTTTGGAGAAAAACCTATTATTTTGAAAATATCAGCTTCATCTCCTCCCCAGTTCTGCCCACTAAAGTCCCTTGCTATTGCGTTTTATTTTACAGAATCGGATTTCATCACATGACAACATGAAGCTGTGGATTCATCTCTTTTATTCATCTCTCCTTGCCTGTATATCTTTACACTCCCAAACTCCAGTGCTCTCATCCAGAGGCTCTTGTGATTCTCTTTGCAATTGTGAGGAAAAAGATGGCACAATGCTAATAAATTGTGAAGCAAAAGGTATCAAGATGGTATCTGAAATAAGTGTGCCACCATCACGACCTTTCCAACTAAGCTTATTAAATAACGGCTTGACGATGCTTCACACAAATGACTTTTCTGGGCTTACCAATGCTATTTCAATACACCTTGGATTTAACAATATTGCAGATATTGAGATAGGTGCATTTAATGGCCTTGGCCTCCTGAAACAACTTCATATCAATCACAATTCTTTAGAAATTCTTAAAGAGGATACTTTCCATGGACTGGAAAACCTGGAATTCCTGCAAGCAGATAACAATTTTATCACAGTGATTGAACCAAGTGCCTTTAGCAAGCTCAACAGACTCAAAGTGTTAATTTTAAATGACAATGCTATTGAGAGTCTTCCTCCAAACATCTTCCGATTTGTTCCTTTAACCCATCTAGATCTTCGTGGAAATCAATTACAAACATTGCCTTATGTTGGTTTTCTCGAACACATTGGCCGAATATTGGATCTTCAGTTGGAGGACAACAAATGGGCCTGCAATTGTGACTTATTGCAGTTAAAAACTTGGTTGGAGAACATGCCTCCACAGTCTATAATTGGTGATGTTGTCTGCAACAGCCCTCCATTTTTTAAAGGAAGTATACTCAGTAGACTAAAGAAGGAATCTATTTGCCCTACTCCACCAGTGTATGAAGAACATGAGGATCCTTCAGGATCATTACATCTGGCAGCAACATCTTCAATAAATGATAGTCGCATGTCAACTAAGACCACGTCCATTCTAAAACTACCCACCAAAGCACCAGGTTTGATACCTTATATTACAAAGCCATCCACTCAACTTCCAGGACCTTACTGCCCTATTCCTTGTAACTGCAAAGTCCTATCCCCATCAGGACTTCTAATACATTGTCAGGAGCGCAACATTGAAAGCTTATCAGATCTGAGACCTCCTCCGCAAAATCCTAGAAAGCTCATTCTAGCGGGAAATATTATTCACAGTTTAATGAAGTCTGATCTAGTGGAATATTTCACTTTGGAAATGCTTCACTTGGGAAACAATCGTATTGAAGTTCTTGAAGAAGGATCGTTTATGAACCTAACGAGATTACAAAAACTCTATCTAAATGGTAACCACCTGACCAAATTAAGTAAAGGCATGTTCCTTGGTCTCCATAATCTTGAATACTTATATCTTGAATACAATGCCATTAAGGAAATACTGCCAGGAACCTTTAATCCAATGCCTAAACTTAAAGTCCTGTATTTAAATAACAACCTCCTCCAAGTTTTACCACCACATATTTTTTCAGGGGTTCCTCTAACTAAGGTAAATCTTAAAACAAACCAGTTTACCCATCTACCTGTAAGTAATATTTTGGATGATCTTGATTTGCTAACCCAGATTGACCTTGAGGATAACCCCTGGGACTGCTCCTGTGACCTGGTTGGACTGCAGCAATGGATACAAAAGTTAAGCAAGAACACAGTGACAGATGACATCCTCTGCACTTCCCCCGGGCATCTCGACAAAAAGGAATTGAAAGCCCTAAATAGTGAAATTCTCTGTCCAGGTTTAGTAAATAACCCATCCATGCCAACACAGACTAGTTACCTTATGGTCACCACTCCTGCAACAACAACAAATACGGCTGATACTATTTTACGATCTCTTACGGACGCTGTGCCACTGTCTGTTCTAATATTGGGACTTCTGATTATGTTCATCACTATTGTTTTCTGTGCTGCAGGGATAGTGGTTCTTGTTCTTCACCGCAGGAGAAGATACAAAAAGAAACAAGTAGATGAGCAAATGAGAGACAACAGTCCTGTGCATCTTCAGTACAGCATGTATGGCCATAAAACCACTCATCACACTACTGAAAGACCCTCTGCCTCACTCTATGAACAGCACATGGTGAGCCCCATGGTTCATGTCTATAGAAGTCCATCCTTTGGTCCAAAGCATCTGGAAGAGGAAGAAGAGAGGAATGAGAAAGAAGGAAGTGATGCAAAACATCTCCAAAGAAGTCTTTTGGAACAGGAAAATCATTCACCACTCACAGGGTCAAATATGAAATACAAAACCACGAACCAATCAACAGAATTTTTATCCTTCCAAGATGCCAGCTCATTGTACAGAAACATTTTAGAAAAAGAAAGGGAACTTCAGCAACTGGGAATCACAGAATACCTAAGGAAAAACATTGCTCAGCTCCAGCCTGATATGGAGGCACATTATCCTGGAGCCCACGAAGAGCTGAAGTTAATGGAAACATTAATGTACTCACGTCCAAGGAAGGTATTAGTGGAACAGACAAAAAATGAGTATTTTGAACTTAAAGCTAATTTACATGCTGAACCTGACTATTTAGAAGTCCTGGAGCAGCAAACATAGATGGAGAGTTTGAGGGCTTTCGCAGAAATGCTGTGATTCTGTTTTAAGTCCATACCTTGTAAATAAGTGCCTTACGTGAGTGTGTCATCAATCAGAACCTAAGCACAGCAGTAAACTATGGGGAAAAAAAAAGAAGAAGAAAAAGAAACTCAGGGATCACTGGGAGAAGCCATGGCATTATCTTCAGGCAATTTAGTCTGTCCCAAATAAAATAAATCCTTGCATGTAAATCATTCAAGGATTATAGTAATATTTCATATACTGAAAAGTGTCTCATAGGAGTCCTCTTGCACATCTAAAAAGGCTGAACATTTAAGTATCCCGAATTTTCTTGAATTGCTTTCCCTATAGATTAATTACAATTGGATTTCATCATTTAAAAACCATACTTGTATATGTAGTTATAATATGTAAGGAATACATTGTTTATAACCAGTATGTACTTCAAAAATGTGTATTGTCAAACATACCTAACTTTCTTGCAATAAATGCAAAAGAAACTGGAACTTGACAATTATAAATAGTAATAGTGAAGAAAAAATAGAAAGGTTGCAATTATATAGGCCATGGGTGGCTCAAAACTTTGAACATTTGAGCTTAAACAAATGCCACTCTCATGCATTCTAAATTAAAAAGTTAAAATGATTAATAGTTCAGGTGGAAGAAATAAGCATACTTTTTGGGTTTTCTACACATTTTGTGTAGACAATTTTAATGTCAGTGCTGCTGTGAACTAAAGTATGTCATTTATGCTCAAAGTTTAATTCTTCTTCTTGGGATATTTTAAAAATGCTACTGAGATTCTGCTGTAAATATGACTAGAGAATATATTGGGTTTGCTTTATTTCATAGGCTTAATTCTTTGTAAATCTGAATGACCATAATAGAAATACATTTCTTGTGGCAAGTAATTCACAGTTGTAAAGTAAATAGGAAAAATTATTTTATTTTTATTGATGTACATTGATAGATGCCATAAATCAGTAGCAAAAGGCACTTCTAAAGGTAAGTGGTTTAAGTTGCCTCAAGAGAGGGACAATGTAGCTTTATTTTACAAGAAGGCATAGTTAGATTTCTATGAAATATTTATTCTGTACAGTTTTATATAGTTTTGGTTCACAAAAGTAATTATTCTTGGGTGCCTTTCAAGAAAATTAAAAATACTACTCACTACAATAAAACTAAAATGAAAACTCTTTTTTAAATGTGCTTTCTTAAATGCACGACAAGCTTTACTTGTCATGCAATCAAGTAAGGATTAACACACATACACACAAACATACAGACACACACACACACACACTGCAGGAGGTTTCTATTTGTTGTTTACACACAGAAGTATCTTGTTCATGTTGTGAAAAAGACTATTTGATTTTTGGTATGCTTAACAGGGAGCCAAATTTAAAGTATGTCTAGCAGTTTTCCCTTTCAAGCAAATCATTTTCTAATGCAACGTAAAAGGAAATGTTTTATTTCTATCGTTTCTAATTATAGAATCAATCATACCTGCACACTTTCACAAGGCAAAGTGAAATTAGTCAAGGTAATCTGGGAATGTTTTCTGAACACCACACAGAGTCATGTACTGGGCTATGAAGGAACACATTTTCCATAAGGAAGTACTCCCTTCAATTTACTCCACAATATTTCAGTGATTCTTAAATGGTCTATTAAATATTTTGGCTTTTAATATCCAACTTTGCACTAATGGCAGAATATACATTATTTATTTTATTTTTAATAAGAAGCCTTCTTGTTGATAAAAACAATATGGGCTGTGCTGCATAGTATGAAGACTATAAGTAATGTAAAATCATATCATGAGCTTTTTTCTTTAAGTTATTGTAGATATTAATGAAAATCAATCAAGAGTTATGTATTAAAAGGTTTATTGAAAACCAACATTTCTTCATTAGCTTCCAAAGTTTGGAAGCATAAAGGTGGAAATTCTTTAAATAATAATTTCTAAGGGAAAATGTGTGTGCATATGAAATGCTGGATGTTTATCTACTAAAAAATATTCAGCATGGTAAATAGTAAAATCTCCAAAACATTATTTTAAAAATTACATTCTCAAGAGAAGAACAAATAAAGGCCAGAATTCATGTTATTGCCCTTCTTTTACTCAGTCCAGTATCTGCCAATATTTTCTAATTCTGATCAGGTACATAGAGGTATTAGGAAGACTTAAGATATTCCAATGCCTGGAGAACGCTTGGAAGGGATCTATGAATGCAGACAGAGACATGCCCTCAAGAACATTCTTTTCTTTGGGATGGGGGAAATATTTCTTTAATCTTTATTTGTCGTTAATTGCCTAAAGTAATAATGTTCACTCTTTAACTTATAATGAAGAGGAACAAAGTTGTTTAAGAAGCCATGTAAGTATATCCCCAAAATCAAAGTACAATCCTTATTCTGAATGTAACTTAAAACTGACATGGAAATTACAATCGTTTCCAAAAACAAGAGATTTTAACGGTTTAAATGTTTCATTCACGACTCTTTGTGGAATTTGTTTTCCTACTGGTTGTTGAGAGTTGAGAAAGGTAATGATGGTCTCTAATTCTTTGGGATCTATGAGACTTTCTCAGAACTTTGATTATTTGACCTGAATTTCCAATTTCTTCTCCTTCCCACTAAAGAATAACTTTTATTATACTCCTTGTTTGATTGTTCACTTAAGCAATCAATTTGGTCTCTTTCAGCAGCTAATTGACAGATTCAGAATTCCAATTCCTCTTTCAGTATCCTCAGCGTTATTCACCTGAACCTGGCCATTAAAAAAAAAAAAAGTAGACTTTTAATTATCTTAGCTTTGCTTCTTGATTTAAACAGAAGTTACATTTTGCCCACTGCACATCAATGCAATTTATGACTCATGTCCAAAAAATGAAATTTTGTAATATAGTGGTAGTAGTGTATAATCATCCTGGATAAATCTTTTTAATATAAGTCAATTTATTTGATATTGGTTGTATTAATACTTATTTAACAAACCATTTTTTACTAAATTACATGAAATTACTTACTGTAAAGTTATAAAAGTGTTCTTCTGATATCTTTCATTTATCTCCATCAATGGGATGGAAATTTTCCTCTCTATAAGAAAGAATTATATCAGTGATGTTACCCTCTTTGAAAGAATCTCTTATATCATGGAGGAGAGAAAGCCCTTCCCTGCTGCTATAATATTAAATAAACTGCAGCACTATCTAAGCTGCCTTAAGCTGCCTGAATGCCTTTGCCCAATTAATTAAAAATGCTTAATCCTTGATTCAGGATTAAAGAATGTGACACGAGCATCCCTTTGTCATTAAAATGACACTTTTAAAAATAATGGTTTATTCTCTTCCTTTATGCCCTTCCATATATTATATGTATATGTATGTACAAACACACACACACACACATACAAAAACAGGTGAGAGAGAGAGAGAGACCTAATAAAGATGTGGTAAGTCATCTCAATATACCTGTAATTTATTTTGCATTTCTCATTATTTTATGATAGCTAATAACTATGTAATCAACAGCACTTTTTAAGAAGAGGAATACTACCAACTTGAATAATTGTTTTGCCATAAACTGTTTATTTTTTAATAAAAATCAACACAAATATCCAAAGACAGCTCACCAAGGTTCCCCATATATGAGTTTCTGCAAGATTATTTTAGGAGATTGTTTTCTACATAAAAAGAAAATTGCCCATGTGTATACAGGTGGTAACTATTTGGGAAGGGAAGGCTGAATCTCCTGGTAGTTAAGAAATGGTTTTACAGTGAATTTGAGGGTTCTTCTCTATTTCTTTTCCCTGTAGAGCACTTCTATGAAGAAGTTGGGGTATCATAAAAGGACAAGCTTTTATTGTAAAATAAGACACAATTAAAAGACTTTCTCAGGAGGAGTGGTCTTATATCTGGCAGCCACATCAAGAATGATCACATTGATAATTATATTATTTAACAACCAAATATTTTTTGGAAAAAAACATTATCTGTCTTACAACTAGCTTTTTTTAAAAGGCAAATTTTATTTATTATATTTGCATTAATTCTTATGTATAGGTAACATAAAGAAGACTGCCAGATGTAAAATCCTCTTCTAGCTGCTTTGAAAGCAAAATCAAATAGACAAATACTCTTCTGTTAGTAAATGTCTTTCAGCAGATTAGTGAATGAAGAAAGGAAACAATTCAAAACAACAATTTACACACACACAGGTTCACGTATTTCCAATTTAAATTATTTAAAATTGTACACTTTCTAAAAAGAGTACTTTTGGTTTAGAATTTTGAAACAGGAAGAGCAGGAAGACCTGACCTTCCACAGGTAATTATTTGCCTCTTCACATCTCTTAGGTTCTACCAGTGAGAAAATGGATTATATAATGAGTAAGGTATTTTGAATTGCTTGTCTTGTAGAAAATTTCTGGGCATTGAAATGGCATTTCATTGTATTTGGTTTTATAGAAGTCTTGAAGAGACACTACACACAAAAATAATCATTCTTGCCAAAATGAACTTGATTTATTTTAAACTCATATTGTTATCAGTGATGAAATCACCATTAGTGAATGTATGTTAAGTGTATTTTCATCCATTTCCTTGGTGTTGTAAGTAATCAAAAGACTTATAAGCCCTTGTTATTGTCTTTGCATAATAAATAATGCCATATGTTAATATAGCAATACATAGTAGAAGAAAGTTAACATTAGGGTTCAAAGGAGTTCTGATCCTCAAAAATCAGATCAGTTTAAATGCTACGTATGGTTTCATCCAGTAAGTTTTCCATGGACACAATTTGGGCCTGTTCCTAGCATTCCGAAGTACTTTGGTTTAACGAATATATATTTGAAGAAAACAATGCACTGTGATACAGCAAACACAATTCCTAGATATAAGCACATCATAAACTTTATCAATTCTAACTTTCTCTTTTAGAAAATGAAGGAGCTAAGGGGTTTGCCTAGCACTATATAAGTAGTGAGAGTAACAAGGCCAGAATTGGAACCCTGTTTGATTGATGCTGTTAATTTACATTGTTTTGCTTTATTCTCAGGGCAGTGGTCCTCATCAGACTCTTGTTATAATCAAACATATTTACAGGGCATGTGAAATCACAGAAAACGTACGTTTTGCCATTGTGCACACGCTGCTTCTATGTTTAGGTAGGACACTGTGAGTTTTTAACATCTTATTGAAAAAAATGGAGACACTTCACTAACTTTAGTCATGGAGTACCTAATTCTAGATTATTCAGAATGATATATTAGCAGATTTTAGATACAGCTTTACAAATGCTGACTGATTTATCAGACTGAACAACATGTACATCTGGCAACCAGAAAGTCATTGTTTGGTTTCTTTTTTCTAATTCTGAATACTTATTTACTATTTATCAATACCAACTTTTAGGAATTTGTTTTATTTCATAGAATAAAATATTGACAAAGTAGTTAACATACAGACAGTTCTAATGATAATACATTAATTTAAAACTTCTATAAACAATATGTGATTTAAGTGTTATTAGAATTATCATATACACAAAGATTATGGTGACAGATATTTTCATGTTTTAATGTTTTAAGATATCTGACTGTAGTAACCTTTGTTTTCATGGTGCAGCTTGTAAGTTAAAGATTACTATCTCAATGAATGTGTCATTTGAATCCTAAAGAGACACCCATATAGTGTGAGGAATTTTGTTCCCTTTTAAATGGACTTTATTTTTTAGAGCAGTTTTGGGTTCACAGCAAAGTTGACTAAAAAGTACAGAGTTGCCATATATCCCTTGTTCCCACACAAGCACAGCCTCCCCAGCTATCAATATCTAGCAACAAGCTGGTGCATTTGTTATAATTAATGAACCTACTTTTACACATTATTATCACCCAAAGTGAACTGTTTACGTTAGTGTTCATTTTTCTATATTCTGTGGGTTTTGACCAATGTCCCCACAATTGTAGTATTCTGTAGAATGGTGTCACTGTCCTAAAAACTGCCTGAGCTTTGTCTAGTTATTGATCTTTTTACTGCTGTGATAGTTTTGTGTTTTCTAGAATGTCATAGAGTTGGAATCATAATATATATCCTTTTCAAACTGGCTTCTTTCACTCAGTAATACACATTAAAGATTCCTCAATGTCCTTTCATTTCTTGACAGCTCATTTCTTCCTGGGCACTGAATAATATTCCATGACGTACCACAACTTATTTACCCATTTACTTACTAAAGAAATTCTTGGTTTCTTCCAAGATTTGACAAATATAAATAAAGCTGCTATAAGCATTTTGTGTGGAGATTTTTGCACGGATATGCATTTTCAACACATTTGGGTAAATAATACCAAGGAACGTGATTGCTGGATTGCATATCATAATAAGTCTGTGTTTTGCTTTCTAAGCAACTAACCGTCTACTAAAGTGGCTGCACAATTTTGCATTCCCACCAACAATGAATGAAGAATTGTTGTTCCACATCCTCATCAGCTCTTGGTGTTGTCAGTTGTCTGACTTTTGACCATTCTAATTTTATCTCATTGTTGTCTTAATTTACATTTCCCTGATGACATGTAATGTGGATCATCTTTCCATATATTTATGGCCATACATATACCTTCTTTGCTGAGGTTATCTGTTTAGGTCTTTCCCTCTTTTTTATCCAAATGTTCATTTTCTTTTTGTTGAATTTTAAGAGTTCTTTGTATAATTTAGGTAAAAATCTTTTATTAGATTTGTTTTGTTTTGTACTTATTCTATGCCAGTCTATGGCTTGTTTTCCCATTTGCTTGACAGTGTCATTTACAGAGCAGAAGTTTTTAATTTTAATTAAGTCTAGTGTATAATGTTTTTTTAAAATAGTGCCTTTGGTGGTACCTGTATAAAGTCATCTCCATGCCCAAGATCATCTAGATTTTCTATGTTATCTTCTCAGAATTTTTGTTTTGCATTTTACATTGAGGTATATGATCCATTTTGATTTAATTTTTGTGAAGGTTGTAAGGTCTGTATCTAGATCATTTATTTGCACGTAAATGCCCACTTGTTCCACCACTGTTTCTTGAAAAGACAATATATGAAAGATTTTTTAAAATCACCTACAATTTAAAAATAATTTATTTATTTACAATATATTTCATTTTAGCCTTTACATTTAATACTTGATGTCCATTAATGCTACACATTACTGCATGTTTGAGGGACCATAACATATAAAAGATAGAATTTTGCCAAATGATAAAGATTACTATCGTTGGGCCTGAATTATCTATAAGACTGTGGAGTATGAACGTAAAACAATGAGCCTAGTAGGAGCCTTCTTAGCTGTGGTCTTTTTTTAAGGCCTGCATTATATACTAGTTTCCATTAATGATATTTATAGAAAGTTAAACTTAGTGTTTGCCTACCAAGCACCTATACCCAGTAGTAGATGGTTTGCATATAGTTAGTTTCATCCTGATATAAAAGCTGCAGGTAATACTGCTATTCCCAATAAAGATAATGAGGCTCAGAAATTTAAACTGCCCAGAATCACACACATAGTAATGGACAAGCTCAGATTTCCTGACTTGGAAAATTCTTGCTTCTATTGGCTTATCAGCCTTCATGTCACAATGATTTTAGGAAAGTGTTTTAAAACTTGAATATTACTTATTTGATCGAAGCAAATACCACGTTCTCATTTTCAAACATTGGACACTTACCTCACAGTTATCATATTGTTTTAATTTCGGATATGTTTATTTTAGCTTCTAATTATGTATTAAACCTATGATCACTATAAAAAGTAATCTTTGATATTTTGCATGTCTGAATTATCCATGTTTTAGATTTTATTTAATTTGAAATAAATATTTAGTGAGAAACTTTTGCATTTTAGACACCACTGAGGTGCTTTAATAATGACTCTTTATCCAAATACAGACTTGGAACATCATATTAACGATAGTTATGAAAACAAAGTAAGGAATACATTTGACTAATTTTGAATTAATCAATTTAAGCAATTGAAAATTAACAATATAATGTATGCTTCATAAAGTTTGCTTTAATTTGAAACATATAATTCCTAATGGTTTGGACTTTTTTTTTTGAGATGGAGTCTTACTCTGTTGCCCAGGCTAGAGTGCAGTGGTGCAATCTCAGCTCACTGCAGCCTACGCTTCTCGGGTTCAAGTGATTCTCCTGCCTCAGCCTCCTGGGTAGCTGGATTACAGGCGCATGCCTCCACGCCCAGCTAATTTTTGTATTTTTAGTAGAGATGGGATTTCACCATGTTGGTCAGGCTGGTCTCAAACTCCTGATCTCAAGATCTGCCAGCCTGGGCATCCCAAAGAGCTGGGATTACAGGCATGAGCCACCACGCCCAGCCAATGCTTTGGAATTTTAACTCAGCTGCCTGTTCTCTTTTGATACAGACACATCTGTAAAGCCTACTCTAGGCAATGCTCTTATACTTTCATTAAGAAAGAGGTCACATTTTTTCAGTGTGCCCTAACATTACTCTGTACAAATACTCACAGCTCTGCTCTGTCTTCGCTGCTGTGTAGTGACAGCCAATGGCATGCATAATACACTTGCTGGTCACAAGGGTATGTAGGCTCCACCTTTATATTACTCTCCCACACAGTGTGAAAGTAGATGCTGCCGCTCGTGTAAGCTGAAATCTTTCACTCACTGTCTGCCTTTGAAGGGGCAGGAATGCTAAAACTTATCTACCTACTTGTCCATGGCAGACTCAGCAATCCTCATGGAAAATTTTCTAAGTGGCATTAAAACAAAGGAAAATGAAGTAGGAAGAATTTGTAGAGATCAACTTGTAAGAAGTTATAATTAAAGAATGGTAAGCTGGCAGTTAAGAGGAGATAAAGGTGGTCTTTTGGTTCTTGCTTCCTTGCATTCATGGCCCTTTTGCTTCTTTGGTGTTTATTTCCCCCTGGGCATCATGTTAACCTTCTACAGCCAATGCTGGCCAGAGCACCACAAGAAATCAACCTCTCTAGTCCCTTGGGCCATGCACTTACCCTTTATTCTCTTAAGTGAATCACTCTTACTCTTAGCCTTGTTGTGGTCATCTCCAAACAAACAAACAAAACATAATAACACAGAACAAAAGTTGGTTTTAACTTGGTTTCAGCCACACTAAGCTGAATGTTTTAGAACAAGGTTGTCCAACCTGTGGCCCCCGGCCACATGAGGCTCATGACAGCTTTGAGGCTCAGGTCCAACACAAATTTGTAAAATTCTCAAAACATTGTGAAATTTTTTTGCAATTTTTTTAGCTCATCAGCTATTGTTAGTGTTAGTGTGCTTTATGTGTGGCCCAAGACAATCCTTCTTCTTCCAACGTGGCACAGGGAAGCCGAAAGATTGGACACCCCTGTTTTAGAAGATTGAGTAATTGAAAAATTGAAAATCAGAAGCTTCAATAGGTAGCATTTCAGATAAAGTAATAAAGAAGCCATTTCCAGAATATAAAGAAAATACATAGGCAAGAGTCAGCCATAGGCTGTTTATACTCATATCATAAACTCAATCTCCAAATCTTACTTGACATAATTCTACAAGAGATAAGTTTGATAAGAATAATTCAGTTAGGAAACATGTGCCTAGTAGAGCCAACCTTGGATCACTGGATCATCACATTTTAAAAGCTTTCTGAATCCTGTTCTTGTACTTTAGTGTTTCACCAATTTTCAGCCAATGTACTATTTCTTGCTTGCATCAACAGACTAAAAAGTTACCTTATTTAAGATGTATCTGGATCACTGATGATTCGTCAATCTAGTAACTATATTTCTAAATTGTAATGTAATCATAAAATAATATCTTTAAGTGAATGAGTACTCTAAGATCATCAAGTCTAGTGTCAATTTAAGTCAACCATTTCTCCCTACAAAACTATTTTATATGATACTGGGATTATATGGACAGAACATTAGCTTCAGAGGCAGGAGGTAACTGAGAGGAAATAAATCCATATTGTGACCTTATCAATATATTCATCCATATTGTGATCTTATCAGCTTATTAAATCTGTATGAGTCATGTTTTTATTTCACAAAGAAAATAACTTACATTTGTAGAGTTGATTTTACGGTATATTATCATATATAAAATAATCTCTACTTGTGCATTTTTAGGAAAGTTTTGAAATAGTTGTGCTACTGTAAAAGAGAAGAGAAATACATTTAGTAATAGTAGTTAAATTATCTGAATTTTATTTAGGATGCTGTTGGTAAAATGATAAGAATAATAATATTTTAATGATATTAAAGACTCACCAAGGCACTCTATGTGAATGAATTTTATAAATAACTCAGCAAAATTTAACTTCTATTAAGGACTCACTAGAACTAATTGTTAGAAAGTTCTATTCTGTTTTCAACTCCAACATTGCTTCCTAACATAATTTACCCTTAATATTTTTCTTTTCCTTTTTTTTTTTAGAAAGGGCCTCATTCTGTGACTCTGGCTGGAGAGCAGTGGCTCGAACATAGTTCACTGCAGCCTTAAATTCATAGGCTCATGCAATCCTGCTACCTCATTTTCCCAAAGTACTGTAATTACATAATTATTTATCTGCTTTATGATAGCTCATTATAGATCTTAAGGAAGACCATTTTGTCTCTTTTTATTTGCTCTTGTGGTAACTTTTACCTAGTAAAAATGCCAGTTTTTTTTTCTTCTGCATGGTGAATCAGAAAACAGATTTACTTCAGCTCCACTAATTTCCATCCCCGAAACATATAGAAGAATATAAACAATATGGAACAAATGAAAATGTATTTTATTAACAGACATTTTACTTCCACATCCATAAGGAGGCAGTGGCCTTGCAGATGTAATTAGTTGAGTTTATACTGAATTATAGAAGGTCCTAAATCCATCGACTTATTTTCTTATAAGAAGACCTACAAAGACATGCAGGGAAAATACCATGTGAAATTTCATATGGAATTTTCATATGGAAAATACCATATGAAAGGCAGAACTTGGAGTGACGGATTACAAGCCAAGAAGCTTCAAGGATTACCAGCAGACACCAGATGCTGAAAGAGGCAAGGAAAAATACTTTTCTAGAACCTTCAGAGAGAGCATGGTCCTGCTGACTAAGAAGTGGGGTGCTGCAGTAACAAATAGCAAAAATCATGGTAAGTCATGGGTAGCTGCTGGAAGGATTTTGAAGCATATGATAGATAAAGCATAGATTCCTTTGAAGTGATTGTTGGTAGAAATATAGATGTTAAATGTGATTTTGATGAGGGCTTAGTAGGAAGCGAAGAGGTTGGTAGAGAATGTTTCTACTAGGGTGGTGCAAAAGTAACCACGGTTTTTGCCGTTAAAAGTAATATCATCTAAGGTAATACACATGTCATCATATACAGAATGTTGCTAGAAATATGAATGTTAGTTAATTCTGGTAAAGTCGCGGACATGAAGAATCATGTCAGTGAAAACATTTCTAGGTATTTATTACAGCAGCACTCCACCGCTCAGCAGAAAAATCTATATTAATTTCCTGGTACTTTTGGAGTCAAGTGCTGCAAGCTGGGTGACTTACCACAAAAGTAATTCCTTCTTTCACACATCTGGAGGCTAGAAGTTGGAAACCAAGGTGTTAGCAGGGTCATGCTCCCTCTGAAGATTTTAGGAAATAATGCTTTCCTTGCTTCTTCTAGCTTCTATTACTTTTTGTCAATTCTTAGTTCCTTGGGTTTTAGCTGCATCACCCCAATTCCTGCCTTTAGGTTTTCTAAAATACTTGAAGCAGAGAAATTCATAATAAATCACGTAATTGATTAATTAACCAGTACTTTTTAATGTATCTACTAAGATTAGCTCGGAGGCCCACAATATATTGGTCCTATTCCCTTACAAGATGTTTAAATATGGAAATATTTAACAATAAGTGTTAGTATAGGACAGTAAGTGACCAAAAGCTAAGTATTTTCTTCAAAAAAAATAAATAAATAAAAATTGAGTAAGAGTACAGTCAAATGAATAGAGTTTGGAATATTCAGGGGAGTCTTTGTGATAAAGCTCAGAAATGATGTTAATAATTATCAGTTGGGGGATATGAAAGAAATGAAGTTCTATAAAGACCCTAAATAAATGAGTACTATCTATATGAATAGGCAGGTGACATGAATAAAATAATTGAGGACTTTATAACTGGTATATTCACCCCATAGATAAATAATATTTACCTCAATAAATGTCTAAATGTATCAAAACCTTAGACATTTCAGAAACAAGAAATAAAGTACCATAAGGTCTATTCACTTCAATAACAAGAATAAAGTATTACCTTTGCCCATCATTAAAACGGTTATATAACTGCTTTACAGTTTCGTTTTTTTCCTAATATATTTCAAACCATCAGTTTCAAAGATCTTGCCTGTAAAATCACCTTCCTATTGTAGATTGAGTTTTAGATTTACATGTATTTATACAGAAAACATAAAGCAGCTGAATGTAGAAAATGAAAAAGAATCTTGCAGAAGGTAAAATTTTCCTTCTAATTTCTTTGAAGCAGAAAAGATAACTATTGGGTACTGTGGTTAATACTTGGGTAATTAAATCATATGTACAACAAACCCCTGTGACACATGTTTACCTCCATAACAAACCTTCACATGTACACTCAAACCTAACATAAAAATTTTAAAAAAATAGAATACTGAAGGATCACCGAAGGGACTAGTTTTGAATTTTCAAATGATATTTTAAAAGCTATAACACTTCTTAGTATAATATCTGATTTTAAGTTAGCATGTACACTTTTAAATAATGCAATCTTTAAATAAAATCACTATGCATCAGCTGAGTTTAGCGTCAATAAAACTTTTCTTTGTGAAGCATATAGTTTTTGTATATTTAAGATAGGAAAATACAAAGTAAGTATAAAGTCTAGGAAGAAAATTGAAATAAAATATGTTGTTGTTCTTTTTCTATCCAAAAGAAAGCAGCAATATAATGTCTTAATTTATCACTTGATTTTAAATTACTGTATATGCTTTTTATATAATTTTTTAAAAATAAAATGTGCATCTTTTTAGTGTCAGCTGGGTTCATATTGCAAACACATTTCTTTATAATCCATCTCTTCTTTGTATATATTCAGGTGGAACCCAGATAAAACATTCACAAAATTTTCAAGGAATATAAGAAATATATGAGAAGAATATGAGAGTAATATGAGAAAAAAAATGATTACTCTTCAGGAATGCTGCACTTAGTGAGTTAGGAATGTGTTTGCTCCCTAATAAAAAGGTAAACCTACACTAAAGGTGTCAAAAGATGCCATTGCTGCATATAATAACAAACAAACAAACAAAAAACACCTGGAAGTAACTGATTTCTAAATCAAAGAAAATTATTTTCTCCCTAGGTCTGGTATTGAGTTATATAATCATGGAATACACCATCTATCAAAACAAAAAATGTAATAAATTGTCATACCAGGATTTGATAAAATGTCAGTCTCGGCACTTCTAGGGACAACCTATTAAAAATGAAGTATCTGTCAATAGCGCTCATGCATATATGTGTTAATGTATAATCCCATGTAAAATAATCTCAAAATAAAGTTCCAAAATTAGATTTATGAGTTTATAGGTCTCAAAACACATTACTATTGATGCCAAGAAGATTCAGGATGAGGTAATGTCCAAATCCATATCTTACCATATATCTGGATGTGATCAGACTTCAGTTTTACTACAGGGTCATAGTTCAGCAAACAATTTCCTGTTGCCTTTGTTAAAGTTAATACTGCCTCTTCTGTATTCCTAATACCCTTCTTTGCAAAGTTCCAGAATAAAGGAACATAGCCTATTTCAATTTCTTAGCTGAATTTTCCCCTCTGCAATACATTTTTTTCTTTCCTCTAGAGGAAGGGAATTCTAACAGAAAATAATTACAAATGACCTTGACCTTTCAAGTGAAAGGTCAAAATTAACTTCTCTGATAATCAGTCTTTTAACTTTGGAATTTAGTAAAATAATGCAGTAACACATAATTGTGTAATTAGTAGTAAATTCAAAAGAAGCAAGAATAGATCTGGGGCTAGCGTTTCATCACAGAGTATTCGGTCTTTCAAAAGCATTTTTTTTCCTTACCCATCTCTCTAGTGCATGAGTCACATATACTTATAGCAAAAAAAAAGTCAAAAGAATAAAAATAAAAGTACATAGGACTCAAACTTTTGTGACTCAGTAATAAGAAAGAAATTACTAACTGATTATGTGAAGATAGGTAGGGTGTTATTTGTAGACTTCATTTGGAGAACAATTATTTGCTAGAAAAATTTAGGAATACAGTGTAGTGTCTTACCTGGGAAATTCTCAGAGGTTATAGCTTCTTGTGGATACTTATTCCTCATTCATTTTGATTATGATAATCAGAGATGGGAGATTCTAAAATCTAAAAGAATAAGCAAGTGTATCTTCCTTAAATCATACAAAAGGGCTCAGAAAAAAATGCAGATGAGTGTCAGTACAACTCAAATCCATGGTATTTTAGAGATTTTTCAATTATATATTCAAAAATTATCATTGTGAGCCAGGTTAATTTATTGAATATTTAAGTAGTATGTATGAGAAGACTCATAAATTGATCATAAGTGACCTATGAAATAAAAGAACTTCCAATCTTTCATTATTTTGACAAGAAATAACATAGATTAAGTGAACTGTCCTCTCAAACCTAATTTTAGTTCATAGCATCAATTTTATAAACAGACAAAAATCTTAGCTGCTAATAAAAACTGCCATTGACTTTTGTGTTTTTTCTCTTTTCATTTCTTATCCAGAATTGAAAGTGCTATAAAGATAAAAGGAGGTTGGCAAGAAGAAAGTATAAACATAGAAATAATTAGTTTGTGAACATTTTCAAATGAATCATCCTTTTTCTAAATAGTTTTGTCAAGATATCTGGCTAGTTTAAGAAAAAAATAGGTAGAAATACTGAGTGATAAAAAAGGGAAGTGTATACAGAATCCAAGGAGAATAAATACTTGTAATAAGAGGTATGTTACACCTCTATAAAATCCAAAATAAACTCTCTTAAATTTTAAATTGTTACAATATTTTATAGCAACAAAAGTCATTATCATTTAATATTTTTAAAAGATTAAAAGCTATAATACCTCTTAGTTGGAGGGAGTTTATAAATAACTGAAATTTTGACTATAACAACTGCTATTATAAACACGGTTTAATATGTCTCTCACTTCATTTTTTAAAATTCTGAAATCGGCCGGGCACGGTGGCTCACGCCTGTAATCCCAGCACTCTGGGAGGCCGAGGCGGGAGGATCTCGAGGTCAGGAGATCGAGACCATCCTGGCTAACACGGTGAAACCCCATCTCTACTAAAAATACAAAAAAATTAGCCGGGCGTTTTGGCTGGCGCCCGTAGACCCAGGCTGTACAAGCGTGGTTCCAGCACCCATTTCAGCTTCTGCTGAGGCCTGGGGAAGCTTTTTTACTCATGGCAGAAGACAAGAGGGAAGAGCAGATATGTCACATGGAGAGAGAGGTAGGGAAGGAGAAAAGGGATAGGTCCCTGATATTTTTTAACAAACAAATCTCACGTGAATTAATAGACTAAGAATTCGTCCCTTACCACGGAGACGGCATCAAGCCATTCATGAGGCATCCACCCCAGGATTCAAACACCTCCCCCTAGTCCTCATCTCCAACATTGGGGGTCACATTTCAACATGAGATTTGGAGGGAAAATTATCCATATCATATGAATTATATACTAGTATATGTTGATTGCCTTATATTGCTATTTTGATCTCTCCCTCACTCAACTGTTTTTACAGGTGCTTGACATATTCACAATTGTGTTTTATTTATAAACTATTTTTGGAAAGATTAAAACATAATCTAAAGACATAGCTCAAGGGGAAACAAAAACTTGTGTGAGTAAATTTTTACAACTGTGATATAATTGAAAGTCTTTGGTCAGATATGACAAATTTAACACAGATGTTAATAAACAAATGCAGATTAACTAGTTTCATACTTTAATTCAGTGTTCTGCAACTGTGGTAGACACATCTGCCCTCTGTGGAGAAACAGTAAATATAAGAAAAATCAGCCAGGCACAGTGGCTCATGCCTGTAATCCCAGCACTTTGAGAGGCCGAGGCGGGCGGATCCCCTGAGGTCGGGAGTTCGAGACCAGCCTGACCAACATGGAGAAACCCCACCTCTGCTAAACCTACAAAATTAGCCAGGCATGGTGGCACATGCCTGTAATCCCATCCACTCTGGAGGCTGAGGCAGGAGAATCACTTTAACCCAGGAGGCGGAGGTTGCCGTGAGCTGAATTGCTCATTGCAGTCCAGCCTGGGCAACGAGGGCGAAACTCCGTCTTTAAAAAAAAAAAAAAAGGAAGATATTTCCAGAAATTGTTTACACTGCTACTTAACGACATGTTCAGATTCACATTAGTGAATTATTAGATTATTAGATTGGATTAGATTTAACAAGTTGAAGACAAAAGCAGAGCAATAACAAAGAGTTGGAAGAGAATAAGGTAAATAAGGGGAAAATATCTTTTCAAATTATTTCTAAGCAATAAATAGAAACTGATAAATATTTTTTAGCTACAAGGAGTTAAGCCTTCAGATAAAATATAACCAATTTGTTCTAACTTAATATGTTAGAAAAATTGTATTAATACTTTTTTTATTGAATTGTCTTGCTATTTAATTATAAAAACATGACAAAATATAAATGAATTATTAGGTATTTATTTACTTTCATTTTCTTATATAGTTATTCTGTATTTAAAGGTAATTAAATTTCTAAAACCCATGATATGAACATATTTATATAACAGCTTTGTTAATTTGGTTATAATTTTTTGTCTTGGTGTATAATGTCCTAACTTTAAACTATCCTGTTTTGAATCTGCTTTTACAAAAATATAGGATGTTTTAATTTTCTACCTAGGACCAAACATTGTTCACATTTCTGAGTGATAAATTATAATGTGCACCTAAGATATATTTTTAGTTAACAAATTTTGCTTTGCAGAATACAATTTAGTTTCTTTTTATTTGTTTCGATTGTTGTTTTCCAGTTTCTAAGTAATCATTTCATTTTTAATTTGGAAAAGTATCATCAACAAATGTTCTCTGTCAGAAAGAAAATACAAACCATTGATAAAATCATCTGGATTAAAAAGTGTATCTGGAACACTGAGCTTTAGAAAAATGCCAGTCAGTGAATATAGAAAGATGCTAAGAATTGTACTGAATACATATGATGGTCATTAATTTATCCTCCCTCAGCACTCACCTGTTGTTTTTCTCCAGGTGAGTACTGTTGCCCTTTAGAATTGTTTGGTTTCCTTAAGTATTTCATAATAGAAATACCATATATACTGAGCATTCTTGGTATTATAAATAAAATGCTACTTGCATTAATTATATTATAAACTGACGGTGCTGACATGGACCTTGCGATACCATTACCACTCTGTGAAGGGAAGCAGGGATAACTGGAAATTAAATTTTTTAGCAGCAGCTTCTTGTCTGTGAATTGTGTTCTTCTCTTAGGAGGTGTATTTTCGAGATTTTTTGACTTAACTCCAAGTTGATTTGCATTTCTTCTTTTTGGCTTTTCCTGGTTTGTAATGTTCTTGCTAACTGAACTGATAATTCCTGTCTGCCCCTAACAGTGCCATAAAGAGGCAGTATTTATCAATGATTGCTTATGATTAAAATATACCTTTTTTCTTGGCAGCAGTTTATACATTTATTAAATAATATGTAAGACATATCTGAATTATTTTCAATCTCAGGTACAGAATCAGTGTTATTTTTAATTTCTCAGTTTAAAACTCCAACATCTTTCTTTAAACTAATAGAAGAAGTTTCTTTGCAATATTATCATATGTAGTGGTAAATAATCTCAAAGAGAATTTTCTGCAGTTAGTTTTTTTCAAAAAAAAACTTTATTTCTATTGTTTGCTCTCAGATATTTATCTGTACTATGACATTAGCCTTCTGATTGTTTCATCCATATCACTATTGTATCTATACAGCATTTACAATGAACTTTTTGTAAAACTTCCTTTGGCAACTATAGTTCCAAAAGTTATTAATAGTTATTATTTTTTGCAATGTATAATGGGTTAAAATAAACCAAGCCCCCTCCCTTATGACCAGATATCTTGATCTATAACCCTCAGATATTTTGCCCATGATGTTCTCTCTTCCAGGGATGATTCTTCTCTTCACTTTGAGTGGATAATGCTTTACATTCATTAGTCCTAAACTCAGCCTTGCCTGATGCCCTATTCTGGACCAAATTCTTGGGTATAGATACTCATATACTGTAATTGTCTGTTCTCATGCTGCAATAAATGCATACCCAAGACTGGGTAATTTAAAAAGGAAAGAGGTTTAGTGGACTCACAGTTCCACATGGCTGGGGAAACCTCACAATCATGGTGGAAGGCAAAGCAGAAGAAAAGGCATGTCTTACATGGCGGCAGGCAAGAGGGTGGGTGCAGGGGAACTCCCTTTTATAAAACCATCAGATCTCATGGGACTTATTCACTATCACGAGAACAGTATGGGGAAACTGCCCCCATGATTCAGTTATCCCCACCTGGCCCTGCCCTTGACACATGGGGATTATTACAATTCAAGGTGAGATTTGGGTGGAGACACAGCCAAACCAAGCACCACACTGCATATCATTTTTCAGGCATTTATAACACTTGCAAATTTATACTTCTTTGTGCATTAAAACCTCAGTTCCACAGCAGAGTATGAGCTGCATAAAGTCAGGCCATTTATTTTCTTTGCTTACCATTTTATTTTCACACAAAGTATAATATATATTAGATGCTAAGTGAATATGTTCATAATGAATGAACAAATGAAATTTTCAAGAAGCAGTTTTATTAGTCATAGAAACCTAGCAAAAGAAATAATGCCCAAATTCAAAAATACACAAATAAAATAAAACATTATCATATTTCAGGAAAGGCAATTTTGAAACATAGTTTGTGACTAAGATTAACTTATGTCTTATGTATGCTAGCTGAATAATTCTGTGAAAATGGATTAATAGGTAGATTGCTAACTTTTCTTATTTCTAAAATTGAAATAAAAACATGTACATTATTTCAATGGAGAATATTATTAGTGCTAAATAAGATAATGCAAGTATTTAACAACATGTTTGCTACATAAAGCTTAATAGATAGCATCTATTATTATCACCAATTATCATCACATGCTAACCTATGGTATATGGGTAACGGATAATAATGAACTCCTATATTTGAGGTTGGGAAGAAATTTTGCTTTATTGAATATTTACATAGGAATGGGATGATGAAGGAGTACATTATTAGCACATTTCCTTTTGTTTAGCTTTTATTTTAGGTTCGGCAGTACATGTGAAAGCTTGTTACACAGGTAAACTTATGTCATGGAAATTTGTTGTACAGAATATCTCATTACCCAAGAATTAAGCCCAGTACCCAATAGTTATTTTTTCTGTTACTTTCCCTTCTCCCACCCGCCACCTTCAAGTAAACCCAGGTGTCTGTTGTTTTCTTCTTTGTAAGTTTTCACCATCTAACTCCCACTTACAAGTGAGAACATGTGGTATTTGGTTTTCTCTTCCTGGGACAGTTTGATGAGAATAATAGCCTCCAGCTCCATCCATGTTCCTGAAAAAGACATTATCTCATTCTTTTTTATGGCTGCATAGTATTCCATGGTGTATATGTACCACATTTTCTTTATCCAATCTGTAATTGATGGGCATTTAGCTTGATTCTATGTCTTTGCTATTGTAAATAATGCTGCATTGAACATTCATGTGGATGTCTTTTTATTGCAGAATGATTTATATTCCTCTAGGTATATACCCAGTAATGGGATTGCTGGGTGAAATGTTAGTTCTGCTTTTAGCATGGGTGAAACGTTAGTTCTGCTTTTAGCACTCTGAAGAACTGCCATACTGCTCTCCACAAGAACATCTCTTTAGGTATGTATTAATTCGATCATGAGGAATCAGTATATCGCCTAAAGAATAAATAACACATATGGTTTCCTATAAAAGAATAAAATAGTATTTTGCAGATACTGAAAAGTGGCAGAATTCTTCACATAGTTAGAAAAGAAAGAGTAGCCTAGAGATAAAATTGTGAGCAACAGAAAGTGATATGGTTAAGTGAATTGAGCTCAGATATCATTATGCCATTCTAAGAAATGTAGAGCTCATGATTAAGCACTGAAAACGGATCAAATGCTCTTCACGTTATCCTAAAAATGTTATCAACATAAAGATTTTATGAAAATGTTAACACACTTTAACAATAATTAGCTGGCTCACATTAAAGTGAGTTGTAAGCCTCTGCCTATCATTACTTTTATAGAACTATTTGCTAATGGTCTGGGCATTAGTTCTCCATCACTTCTTAACAAGTTACCCCAAAACTTAGACTCTTCAAACAGCACATATTAATTACCTACTGTTCCTGTGGGTCAGGAATTTTAAAGCAGATTAGCAGCATGGTTCTAGCTCTGTTAGGTTACCATCAAGACACTGTCTAGGGTGCAGTCATTTGAAAATTGAACTGCACTCCTGCCTTCATAGCTTTGTGGATGCTGGTGGGAGGCCTTGGTTTCTTGCTATGTGTATCTCTCCACAGTATTCTTAGAGGGTCCTCATAACACTGCAGCTTGCCTCCACAGAACAAGTGTTCCAAGAGAAAGGAAGATGTATACTGCAATGTTTTTTTATAATGTAGTCTTAGAAACCACACACTGCTATTTTTCTCAATACCCTATTAATTACACAAGTCATCTCTATGTGATATGGGAAGAGAATCCACAAAGGTGTCAATACTAGGAAGCAGTAATCAATAAGAGTCATTTTAGAGGCTGGTCACCACTGACTAGAATCATTTAGCAATCATAGTTATGACCAAATGCAATTAATGATCTAATTTTGAACATGTTGAGTTGTAGTTTACAGTGGTAGTTCCCCTTGTCTGTGACAGGTAAGTTCCAAGATCCCCAGTGAATGTCTGAAACCGCAGATAGTACCAAACTCTATATCTACTATGTTTTTTTCTATGCATATATATCGACGATAAAGTTTAATTTATAAAGTAGGCATAGTAAGAGATTAACAACAATGATAACAAAATAAAAACATTCTAACAATATGCCAGCATTACTACTCTTGTGCTTTGGGGCCACTATTACGTAAAATCAATGTTACTTGAACACAAGCACTGCAATATTGCAACAGTGGATCTGATAACCAAGATGGCTACTAAGTGATTAATGGTTGAAGAGAGTAGACAGTGTGGGGACTGTGGACAAAGGGATGATTCACCTCCAGGAGGGACGGAGCGGAAAGGCCAAAGATTTCATCATGCTCCTCAGAATGACATGCAATTTCAAACTTATGAATTATTTCTGGAATTTTCCATTTAATATTTTTGGACCATGGTTGACCACAGGTAACTGAAACTGAAGAAAGTGAAACTGCAGATAAAGAGGAACTATTATACTAAAATTAACATAAAATCAGATACTGTGAATTCTTTTAAGTAAACAACAGGATAAGTAATGTTTTTATTTCTGCTCGTATTTGACAGATTTTGATTTCTCAATATCCCATTCCATTCTTCATAACTAACTCAATTATCTTCAAAGATGAAAATTAGATCTTTTCACTTCCTCTTTGTAAAAAAGAAAATACCCTTAACAGCTTGGCACTATAAAAAGGAACAATTATGTATTTTTCAACTATCATCCATACAAATTACTGTGATAATACAGGCAGTAAAGAGGATCCATGCTTTGCATTACACATAACTATGTGTTTACATGCTGGACCACTGGAAGGTACCTGTGGAGAGTTATAGCATGTGGCCATTCTAGCTGACTCAGACCAACTTTCGATTGCAGCTTTAGAGTCAGGAAATCCCTTTGATTCATATCTTTTACTAAGGATATATTTACATCTAATTGATTTAGAAATAAGTATCTGGCAAGTATAGGATGAGGATGATTTTGAATAAGATTTCCAGCTTTACAACTAGGATAGCTAGCCAGATTCTTGTTCTTTTATTTTTCTTGTCACTCAATATTTCAGGAAGCCAGAATTCAAATTGATTCAGTTTTTTTTTCCTAAGAGGCAGTCTGGATATGACCCCAGCAAACACTTAACAAAATTATAGTTGGTCGTAGAGCTTCAAAAAAATCCCACCTAAATGATCATCACCTTGTCTATTAGGGTGTTCATCCTGATGTTCATTTGAAGTGCATATGTTGCTTGGATACAGCAGTTGCATGAATTATGGGTCTTACACATCTAGGAACAAAATGTGGCTTGCATTTATTTTTGTTGACTTTTTCAATGCAATTTTCTTCAATGACATTTCATCAATACAAAACCATTGCAGAATAATAATAAATATCTAAGAGTTAGGTCTGAGATTATCCTTTTCAAGATCTATAAATATCATAGCACATGCTTCTGGGCACCAGCATTTTTGTTAATTGGCCCAATTTCTTTGAGCTAGTGGTCCTCACTAATACTCTGATGCCACAGTGTGTGAAGCATCTGTTACTTCTTATCTGTGGTTGGAAGAATGTATGGATCTTAATTAATCACCTGGAAAAGAGACTATTTATTCACTTAGATGGCAGCTCCTTCATGATTACAAGAAGCACAGCAGGAGAGGCGATGCATTTTTTAGGGAGTGAAACACAAAGCCAGGTAAATGACTGACAAATAAGAAGCATGAAGGAAAACATGTAACATCACATCCCAGGGGCCCTTCCAGATGTTCACTTTTGTAATAGCACCTTAACATAAGAAAATAGAATATTCTCAAAAGACAGTGATATATTAACTCTGCCACTTTCATTTATAAAGAGATGCTACATATACAACTCTTTAAGGTGTTCTCAGCATTTTAAAAAGTGGCTTTTTAATATAAACACAGAAAACACTGAAGGTTTGCCCTTGAACTTAACATCACTGCCAATTAACTTCTAGCTACTTCACTCTCATTTAACAGTGTGCTTTTTGAAAGGTTATACATGGACACACACTCACACACACAAAGTTTGTTTGGCTGCTAAAATTTAATTCATTTTAAAATCATAAAATAAGCTAACAATAAAATAGGGAAATAAATACAATAGCATTTATTGCCATATTTAAAAAAACAATTTCTCATCAATGGGACTAATTTCAGCTATGGAAAGATGGTTCTATATTAAAATATCAATTAATGTAATCATTCACATGAACAGGCTAAAGAAAAAAGTCATAGGATTAGATCAGTAGATGCAGAAAAGTTATTTGATGAAATCCAACACTCATTCACAATGAGAATACTAGAAATAGAGATAATTTCCTCAACTTGATAAGGAACACCTAAAAGAAAACAAAAACAAATCCTACAGTGAACATTGTAATTAATTGTACAAAACTAGAAGAAGGAATAAGTAAAACTGTCTTTGTTTGCAGCTGTTATAATTGTCTATGTATGTGGAAAATCCCAAAGAATAAACAAACAAACAAATAAAAACCTCCTGGAACTAATTAGCAGTCATAGCAAGATTGCAGACTATGAGGGTAACATACAAAAGATAGTTTCTCTGCCATACACATGCAATGAACAGTAGGAATCTGATTTTTTAAAGCCAGCACTATTTACATTAGCATTCAAAAATAAATACTGATATATAAATCTAAGAAAATATCTGCAAGTTCTATATGAGAAAAACAATGAAATGCTAATGAAAGAAATCAAGGAAAGATCTTAATAAGTGCAGAGCTGTTCCAAATTCATACATAGAAAGACTAAATAGTGTTAAAATATCGTCTCTTCCCAACCTGATCTGTAGACTGAATGTAATTTTGGGCAAAATCCCAACAAGGTATTTTGTGGATCTCAGCTGATTCTAAGGTTCCTATAGAAAAGCAAAACACCCAAAATAACCACTGCAATACTGGATTTAAACAAGGAAAATAGTCAGACAGCTGACATTACCTGATTTCAAGCCTTACTGTAAAGCTACAATAATCACAACAGTCTGGTATTCGATGGGAGAGAATGAAGAGCCCAGAAATGTAGTCAGTGAATCTTTAACAGAGGGACAGTGGCAATTTTATAAAGAAAAGTAGAGTCCCTTCACCAGATACCCTTGGAACAACTGGAAGTCTAGATGCAAAATAATGAATCTAGGCAGAGACCTTACATCTTTCACAAAAATCAAATCAAACAGGATCATAGAGCTAAATATATAAATACCAAGCTATAAAACTTTAGAGTATAACATAGAAAAAAATCTAGATGATCTCAGGTTTTGCAATTACTTTTCATATTTAATATCAAAGTATAATCCATTTTAAAGTTGACAGATTTGACTTTGTTTTAAAAATTCTTCCAATTTGCAGAAGTCACTGTTAAGAAAATTAATGAAAAAAAAGCCAAAGACTGGTATTAGAATCTTTGCAAAACACACATCTAATAAAGGCCTTGCATTAAAAAAAATAGAGACAACTCTTAAAACTTTACAATAAGAGAAAAGAAACAAAAATGGTTTAAAAAACACACTCCCAAAAAGATACATAGATTGCTAAGAAGCATATGGAAAAAAATGTTACACATCATATTTCATTATGGAATTACAAATTAAAATAACAGTGAGATACAACCATAAACATGTTAGAATTGCTAAAATCCCAAATAGAGGCAACCTCAAATGCAGTCAAAGATGTGAAGCAACATGATGTCTCTTTCACTGCCTTGGGAATGCACACTAGTAGAGTTACTTTGGCAGACATTTTGGCAGCTTCTTAGAAAGCTACACATAGTCTTACTGTAAG
The DNA here is from genome assembly GCF_000001405.40 of Homo sapiens. Lineage (NCBI taxonomy): Eukaryota > Metazoa > Chordata > Mammalia > Primates > Hominidae > Homo > Homo sapiens. The sequence continues at coordinate 85,769,072 of NC_000013.11, read as the reverse complement.
ATCCAGCAATTGCACTTCTAGATGTTTACCCATATGATGTAAAACCTCATGTCCACACAAAAACCTGCACATGGATGTTTATAGCAGCTTTATTCACAATACACACATATCACTTCTGTAAAAGATGACTGTCATTTCCATCTGAAAGAACATGACCAAAACAACAGACGTAGAACCTAAAATGCAAACAGTATTGCATTGAGTATATACTCATAGTTTTCATTGCAAGAGGTATAAAGCAGGAGGCACCAACTCTTTCCATTTCTGAATTGCCAAAATTTGGAAGCAACCAAGATGTTCTTAAATAGGTAAATGGATAAAACTGTGATACATCCATGCAATAAAATATTATTCAGCAATAAAAATAAACTATCAAGCCACAAAGAGACATGGAGGAATCTTAAATGCATATCACCAAGTGAAAAAGGGCAGTCTGAAAAGACTACATACCATTTAAAGACAAATACATGCTAATCTAAAAAAAGTTAAAAGTATAAAGACAGTAAAAATATCAGTGGTGACAGGTGGTTAAGGAGAAAAGAGATAGATAAATAGATGGAAAGTAGGGCATTTTTAAGGCAGTGAAATTTTATATTGTAGTGGTAGATGCAAGAAATAATGCATTTGTCAAAACAAAAAATCTGTACAATACAGAGTATTTGTACTGTACAAATACACTAATATAAATGATGAACTTCAGTTAAACTAATGTATTGATATTGGTTCATCAATTGTAATAAATATATTACACTGAGAAAAAATGTTAAAATAGGGCAAACGGTGTGGGGTAGGAGTTCCAGCCTATGGAAGCTCTGCATTTTCTGCCATTTTTGGTAAATCAAAACCTTTTCCAAGAAAGACTCTGTTAAAAACATTTATTCCTCTCTGATATTCCTAACAAATTGAGGTCCTGAATCATTGCAAAGGACACTTGACTCTGTAATTTATCCTCATATTTTGTCATCAACAAAATTCCTTCAATAAGAAGAAAAGTGTTATGGCTTCTATATAGCCATAACAATATTAAAGTTCTTTAACACTTTCTAGATAACCTTGGTATGTTTTTAATACTCTCATTTTAAGAATATGGCCAGTTTTATGGAGTGCAGATAGGTTTATTTCTCAAAATTTGCTAATGTCAGACTTTAGTCATGTTAATTAAAGGTAAAACATTGTTGTACTGGATTAAAATGTTTTTAATGCTGTATGAAAACTCTAGATTTTATTTTGGGAATCCATAGTATTCATAGAACATTAAAAATAAGCTGAATAAAAAACATAATATCACCCAACTTCGGGTTAATAACAGTATTGGAAGGATATGTTGATAGAGAGACAGCTATTTATTTGCTCTAACTTGAATTTAGGGAAGTCATCGAATTCATGTATTTAAATTCTAGTAATCCTTAAGAGGAAAATAAGTTTGCACCTGTGCAGTGCTGTAGAAAGATAAAAGAATATCTGGAAAAGGAGTCATCAAAACTTCCAAAAAAGTCGTATAAATTTAGATGATAAAGCATACAAGCTTTAAAGTAATAAACACAATTCAATCTTTAGACCATCACCTGGGAAATGACAAAGATGTAGACACAATGAGAGAAGATAAATACTATTAAAAGCAAAATAAGGAGACATGAAAAGTTTGTTTTATCTTTACAGGACCAAAAGTTACAAATACCACATCAAAAAGATGAAAGACTGTTTGACAATATAAAATAGAAATCAAGAACAATTAAATTATGAAAGGGCTGTGTTGTTTATTAACTGATCTATTTGACTACATGTCAAAAAGAATAACTACTTAACGTAAGTTAAAAATTTGTATCTACCTAACCCAAAAAGCCGTCCCTTCCCCATTCCCCAGAAACCAAATTATGCATTTAGCATAAGCAGAAAATACATTATTTTCTGCAGAGGTTCAGGTTAAGCAGTTACAGCTGTCTGGACAGATTCAGAGAAAGACACAAATCATAAAGCCTTCAGATGAGCAAGGTAAATATTAACAAATATAATGGAAATCCGTCTTACTCCATTTCCCTTTTAGGGTTTTTATCACTTGAATAAATGAAATGTTAAGAGAATACAGGTGGTATGATCTGACATTTGAGCAATAAAACAGCTTAATAAGAGTCCATTGAGAGGTACTGAGGAATAAAGCACACAGCATAGTATTAATCACAGACATTAAAAGAGAAGACTGTTGCATTGTTTGGAGCATGAATGCAATTTTGGTTTGTTATTGTTTTTGTTTCATGAATAGAATAATTTTCAAAATAAATGAAGTTTGTTAGTAGTTTCAACCTCCCTCCCTACCCAAACTCAGATATTCAGTTTCATTTTTCTAATGCTCCAAAATTGTCTTCATTCTTTCCATTCATGGTATTACTATAGTATTCAAATTTTTAAAAACACTCAATTGTTGAATCTTTTCAGTGTCAATATATTAAAATTAAGCACAAGCAAGCATTAATTACATTTTAAAATGATGAAATTGAAACTAAGAATACTCAAGAAACTTAATTTTGGGCAACTTAAGCCAGAAACAAAAGGACAGGTGTTCAAATCCATGTCAGCCTGGGCCCGAAGTACACTCCTCACCATCCCTCTAAATAATCTCTTGTTCCTCTCTCAACCTGTCCATGCGTCCTTCAATGTTACTTTCTTCTCTAGCCCTGATAAAAATATAAAAGTACTGATTCCTATATAATATTAATTTATAGTGCATACTATTCCTTTATATGAAAAGAATGTGAATTAAAAGTAATATTTAAAGAAAGAAGGTTATTGTGAATAAACTAAAAACAAAAAGGCATATACTATTTTGAATGTGGTAAGATTCAATATTTTGTTTCCTTACAATCACGAGATCAAAGAAGCTAAGCTCCTTGCTGGGTAACTTCCCTGTATATGCTAAGGAAACTCTTGGTAACTTTTGGTATAAAATAATCTTGAAAGCCCCAGGGCTATTATTATTCTAAAGTGAGAGAAAATAAAAATATGGCATATATTGAGTGGGCCCCAAACTTAAGCCCCCTGTAATCCTTGACACGAATGTCTTAAAAGCTTCTTGATACACAGCTAGGTCGTTAGTTATTATTTATTGAATTCATTGAACCAAGGTTTAGAATTACTAGCCAGGCTTCTTCCTGCTTATTTCAAGGATATGCCTGTACCAAATTGCTAAATCCTCATTCCAATCCCAAACTTATACATATCCCAGAAATCTTATTACCATCTTATACAGTATGTGCCTTTTAAAGGCTTGGTATTAGGTTAGAGCACCTTAACTCTCATTTCTCTTTTGCTTTTAAGTTTATAATGATAGAAAATTTCCTCAACTACTTCATTCTACAAATCATAATTGGTAAAATGAAGTGTTTAAGGCACTGAATCAAATTTTTCTTTTTCATATGTTTTCCTTTTACTATGAAGTCATACCTGTAGAATGAAGACTGGGCCTTTTTCACGTTAAAGTAGCAATTTCTCTTTAGCAGCAGAGAAGGTTGGACAAAATCTGTATGGCATCTCAAATTACTAGAGATTTACCTAGTGTACTTTTCCTTTTTGTAAAGTTCCATTATTATGAGTTCTCATTGTGAGATGGATGGAGGTGATTTATAGGCTACAGAATACCAAACAAGCACAGGCATAATAAGAGAAGGATAAACCATCGACAAAATAAAGTCAAACAAGCCTCACCTGTTTTATTGTTGGTTTTATTAGTGAAGGGTACTCAAAATGTTTATTAATCCGTAACTCTGTTTTCTCTTTTAGGTTCTGAAATAAAAGCCTTTGCAAATGAGTATTTTAAAGGTCTATAATAGCTATTTTCTTAGAAGGAAAATAAGTACATTATAGCACAAAATAAAATTTAATGTATTTCTCAGGCTACACTCACATCAGCAAATATCTAAATGCTAAAATGGTAAATTATCCTATAAATGTACAGCCAAATTGGTTTCATAAAATAATCACCAAATTGTGCCAATTGTCAAAAAGACTAAATACAAGCCACGCTAATAAAGTTCACAGTAAACTGCGAAGTGAATAAAATCAAGTTTCTTACAATAATGAGTCATTGAAGTAACAGCATTTCTTTTGCAGTAGCAGGATATATAATCAAGCCATAGAAATTTATTCTGATTAATATCTATTAATAAAGTTCAGAAATTAAAAAAACATACATTTACTCTCTAATTTTAATAATTACAAAAATGGATGTGATGGAGAATTCCAAAATAGTGGTGATTGTGTTACCATTAAAGTTTTCAAGAAAATGGTTAAGAAACTGAAAAAGATAGTATGTCATTATGAAAACATTTCATGCCACTGTATAGAGAGATTAATTTTTCCAAAAGATATCATGTGCATAATTCTTAACAACATTAAAAAATGAAGTGTGTGGTAAGATCATACTAATGTCTAACAAGAAAATAACACAAAATTATTCCATTAACTGAAGATAAAATTCTAGAAACTCAGTTTGACTCATCATGATCCTGAAAATTGATATCACATTAATGATGGAGATTGGATCTTCACTTACACAAAGTCAATCTGCCATATAAATTCCAACTCAATTTAACTTCTATAACTTTGAGTTATTCAATCTGTCAAATAAATTTCAACTTTTAATTCTTTCTAAAGTTCAAACTACTTAATAATGGTCAACTTCTTCACTCTTGTGACTTCCATGCCATGTGAGAACAATTCTTCCAGATATATTTAATATAAGTGCATTCTGTAAAATAGTATTGGAATAGACGTTTGATTTACAGACCAATGTGTGTCGAATTTTTAACCACTCTGGGTGAAAAATTATAAACCTCTAAGAAACAGGGAACAGAGAAATGGCTTTAATGCCTCTCAAATGTAATGACCTAAACAATATTAGATACTGAATGTATGACCTCCAGGCCTTTGCAAGAAGGTACTATCCACTGATCATGTAAAAGACTCCAAGCACTCAAGCTGGTATTGCTAACTAAATCAATGGGAAACAGAGGGCAAAAATAACTCCCTGCCATGTATACCACAACTGAGTGAAAAGTATTGAGCAACTATTTCAGCAAGAAGAGAAGTGTCATTTTTGGACTGTTGCTGCACCTATGTACTATTGCTTTTTGTCTCACCAGTCAAATAAGTAAATAGAGACCTCAGTGATATGTCTATGCAAATATATATTAAATGTATAAATTGCACTTATATAAATGTGTATATTTGTGATAATTTATAAATTTACATATAAATTTATAAGACATGCATATATATAAACAGAATAAGCATATAAGATTCTTAAAGAAGGTATCTTTTAAGTTGAAAACTGTAGACATTTTTCCTTCTCTCTGATGTAGTGATATCTTTCAGAAAAAAAATCATGGGTATTGAGGTAATAGTTTAGGAAACATGATTATCAACTATTACACCCATCTGCTTCTATGTGAAGAAAAAATATTCATTATGTTAGATTGTAGGTATCTCAGCAACAACTTCAGGATTTTTCTGTCACTGATTGAGAAAGGACAGTCTTTTTAATATTATTGCAATATTTTGATGACAAACAAAAATCGTCTAAAATATGGAGACCTTAAAAATATAAATGATGACTAACACATATTTATGAGTAAACAATATATTTGGAAAATATATATAGTTGTTAAATATAGCATATATAATAAAAAATGAAGTAATTTATTTTCAATATGAATTTGTGGCTATTAACAAATCATGGAGGTTTTTTGTTTGTTTTTTTAGAGATCTCACTCTGTTAATAGGGCTGGAGTACATATCATAGCTCACTGCAGCCTCCAACTCCTGGGCTCAAGTGATCCTCCCACTTCAGCCTCCTGAGTAGCAATGATTACAGGCACATGTGCCACCACACCTGGTTAATCTTTTAAATTTTTTGTAGAGATAGGGTCTTGCTTGTTGCCCAGGCTGGTCTGGAACTCCTGGCCTCAAGCAATCCTCTTGTCACAGCTTCCCAAAGTGCTGGGATTACAGGCATGAACCACTGTGCCAGCCACATCATGTATTAACTCTGTAATTGATCAAACAACTATGTAGATGTAAGAGCTCATAAAGTTTGTTGCCTAAGAAAATAATAAGCCATGCACAAACTAATTAGGGTACAACTATGGTGGAAGTAGCTGGAAGGCAAACTGCTTTAAGTACAGAATACAGATAAATTCGTTATAACTAATGGAAACTAGATAGACTTCAAGAATAATTAATGCAGTTGGTGAAAAGTGAAGTGTAGCAGAACATCAACTGTGGAAATTTTGTGAAAGAGCATTCTGAATAAGAAAAATAGAGCAGCATAAACAAAGTAAGCAGGCTTAAGAAGGAGAAATGGAATTGTCCCAATGAAGAGTTAAAGTATTGGTAAGATACAAGGCTGCAAAAATAATTGTGTCTGAACTGTTTCCATTTGTTCATTTATTTAGCAAATAGTAATTGAACATCCTTTAATACAATCATAGGCTAAGCTAAATGCACAGTCATGAACAAAACAAATTGTCACTGTTGCAAAACAAATATTAAATAAATTATAAGAAAATTAATTCATTGCCACTGTGATTGGACTACAAGATACAGGGTGTTATGTGATGACCTAACAGGGAATCTCTAACCTTATGGCACAATGACTATCTTGTTCTAGTTTACTTTCTTCCCCACTCCTTAAGATGCTCATTGTATATCTTCCTTTCTTTTCATCCCTCCAACAACTTACAAGCTTACACTTGATGAATGACCTACATGTTTATTTCACCGAGAAGTCTCAAAGATGTGTAAAGCCTTTGAGGCTGGAAGGAGCTTGATGCTTTCAAGGGTCTGAGAAGGCTCTAAGACTAGAGTGCGTAGAGCAAAGGGTGACTGGTGTGTGATGGAAGACCTTGCAGCCAGGGGCCAGGGGCAGATTTTGCAGGGGTTTTCAATCATTTATTATTCAACACATATTTACTGATCATCTACAATAGACCATGCACTGTTCTGATGCTGGGGACATAATGATGAGAAAGATGGGAGAGATTCCTGCTGACTTGGGTCTTAACTTTTACTTGCAGAGTAAGAAAGTAAATGAATAAACTTCTTAAAAATGAAATAAAATGCATGAAGATATTTTCCTAGTGCTATAATCGCTAACGGAAAAAAAACGGAAAATGTGTTAGCAAGCGACCAAATTAGGGTGTGGAACAGGAAATAGCTGTTAACTGATAAGGTGCGTGAAGGCTTCTCTGTGACGATATCACTTATAATTTAAGTGATGATAAAAATGATGTGGCTAATAAAAACATTTCAGAAGAGCAGTAACAACAATTCCCTTTTCTGTAGTAACACTGGCATATCTAAAAGAAGAGAGAAAAGTCAAATGTGTCTGAGTTATTGTGAACCCTGAAGAGTTAGGTAAGAGACAGAGCAAGTAAGAGCCACATGATAATTACATACGGGAAAGAGTTTGAAAAAGTTCAAAGAAGAGTCACTGGATGATTGTATTAAATGATGCTTAATTACCATTTGCTAAATAAACAAACAAATGGAAACTGCTCAGACACAATCACTTTTGCAGCCTTGTATCTTACCAATACTTTGATACTTCATTAGTGAGTTTTCTGATAATAGTTTAAAAAAACCACTTGGAAAGTTTTTGTGGCACCCTTGGCAAGAAAACATATTGGATTATATTATGGAGGTAGGAATGGTGATAGAAGAAATGGTTGGTTTGGAATGTATTTTTGGATACAGCTACATGACATTGTTTATTAAAAACGAAAGTGGGAACTGAAAAAAAGAAAAATCAAGCATGGAGGGCTGTTTTGCAGAGAAAGATCAGCGTGATCTTATTTATATGAGTTAAACTTAGGAGATGTTTTGCTTTTTATTTCATTTATTTATTTTTTGAGATAGAGTCTCACTCTGTTGCCCAGGCTGGAGTGCAATCGTATAATCTCGCCTCACTGCAGCCTCAAGCAATCCTGGGCTCAAGCAATCCTCCTGCCACACTGTGGCTTCAGGAGCTGGAAACATTCACCCCTAGGTGCTTCTGTAGGGTCGGAGCCCATGCTCCCAAAGACCTGTTCATCTACCTGCCCCTCCTAGGGGTTTTAAGCAGCGGGGCACTGAATAAGCGAGCCGCACCCCCATCTCACGCCCTGCCAGGCGGACAAGGGAACTTTTCCCGTTTCAGATAGACTTAATGACACTTTTTCCCCCTCCTATAGCCCTCATAAGCAAATCATATCCTTTTTCTACAACACTTCACATATTTCAGGGCCTGAAGGTGTAGGCATACTATACCTAGCCACGGTGTAGTTAACAGTGTAGGCATATTACACCTAGCCACAGTGGGCATGTTACAGTGTGCCCTTTTAGTTGTATCATCTGTAGGCGGCTTGTGTTAATCAGCCAAGACCCTAGATGGCACACACACAAGTGGCCGGGTGTCGAGAGGAACACACTGGCAGAAGAGCACACAGGCAGCTGGATGTCCAGAGGCGCAGAGGAGCGGAAGAGGAGACCCACAGGCACTGGCAGAAGCCAGCAGGCCATCAACCAGCAGAACAACATGGACGCCAAGGGGAATTTGGCTGGAGTGGTTGCAGGAGAGTCTGGCCACTGAGGGGTAAGACTCCAGTAAAAAACCACCTTCCCACTCCATACCCCTTCTGGCTCCCCATCTATCTGCTGAGGGCTACTTCCATCATTCAAGGAAACCTTGCATTCATTCTCCAAGCCCACGTGTGATCTGATTTTTCCGGTACACCAACGCAAGAACCCCAGGATACAGAAAGCCCCCTGTCCTCTCGGATGTTGCTGTCTTTTACTGGTCCACTAAAATGCATAATTAAAATATTAAATATTTTCAACTATTAAATAACAATATATCTTGAAATTACCCAATATATACATAAATCTTTATTCACAGCCAATGGCTAAAAGCCTAAAATATAAAATGTCCAATTTTTATCAGATTTTGTTTTCAGCCCAGATTTACATAAGATATATTTTAGAAATAAATTAAAATACATTATAGAAGTCATTTTGTAACTATTGGCAAATCCTTCTTGATATACTGCTAAGAAATCAAGAAAGTGAACTATTCTAGTGAATAGGTAATAAGTCCTTTGCAATTTTGTTTAATGGTAGCTAACATAAGTCGGCACTTGATGAGCTAAGAGAATGAAATATTAACCCACAGATACATGGACAGACTGAAAATCAAAATCTGCATCCACTCTGCTTTAGATACACTTCCAATGAACTGATCCCAGAAAACTATTTAATAAACTTTAATTTTATCTTATACATACTATTTTCAGGTGTATATGGTACAGTGATCAATATAAGACTTGCAAACATTCAAATAATATTACATTAGGATAACAGTCTGCAAGAAAATTGGAATGGAAATATAATTTAAAATATAAAATGTGACTATGTAAAATTTTTACTATTTTAGATGTGTTTGTTCAGATACTTTTTAAGGAATGTAAGAGCATGTGTAGGTACCAAGTTATTTAACATTTGGATTCTAATTTAAAAATAACATTATAGATTAGTTTTACACATTTAGTAGTATATTTGTAGGTAAAACTGTGTAATTTTATTTTCTATTAAGTAAACATAAATATTTAAAATACTGAAATGCAGTTTAAAAATGTACAAGGAAGTATTGTTAATTTTAAAAATTAGGAAACATGTTACTAAAATTTTTTGAACATTATTGGTAGAAGCAACTGTAAAGATTTTAGGCTCATAATGAAAGCAATTGAAAATTTTGCAAGGGTACAAATAGAAGAGTCATGATCATTGTCATTTAATAAATGTTGTGCAAATGAACTCATTTTAATTTCGTAGGAACCAACAAGATATGATAAAATATGTGCTTTAAGTAATTTAATTTTGGAAACTATGCTTTAGTCAACAACTTATAACTACAATCATGCAAACTACTTGACATGATTCAAAGAAAACAGCATACTTTTTGAATGGTTAAAGCAAGCTTTTGTGATGTGAATGTGTGTACGTGTGTGTATCCCTTTTATTTTTTAACAGACATAATTTACATGATTATAGAGATATTATAGATATAGATGTATCTCTAAATATAGAGATATTATTACAGAGATAGTTGGCAGTATAAATTAGCCCAATAAGTATAAAACAAAAATATGATTTCATCTATAACCCCACCTGTGACTCTTACTCAAGTTACCTATATTCCAAAAGCTCAAGGTTAACTTAAGGTTAGAATCGCCAGAAAAATCCAGAAAGAATAGAAGTCTGAACCTAGTTTCAGAAGATCAAGCATCAGTAAAAACCTCAGAGGCATAACTTGATTACACTGTAGCATGAATGTTCATAATAATAACCTCGAGTCATCATATAAAGCTTAAATTATGTTCCTTGTTCTCTTTTGAAGATGGCAATTCATTAAAAAATATGCTGTGAAAAAATAATCAGAAGGATTGTTTTTAAAATCTTCCTTGCTCAAAGTCTTAAATTTTCATTTGCTGAAAAGTTGCTATTTTGATATACACTACTGTCCAACGATATCAAACAAAGCAGTCATTACTAGTTCCAGGCTACACGAAGCTCATTACACCTAAAAATATTTGAATGGACATTTTAATTTCAAATTCATTTGAAGAAAATCACAAGTTTCAGGAGTTTTCTAGAATTGCCTGCCAAGTATTTGACATGTATAGCATAAGATAATTTTATGCACAGAGATGCTCATTTTCTGATGTTTCCAAGATTGCACATTTTCTGAATTAACCAGTCCATTTGATGTGGAGTAAAGAATAGTGTACACGTATATTAGATATTTAATGGTATACAGCTAAGATAACTTTATGCTATTAGATTGGGCTGTTACAATCAGTAATGGGTAATTTTCTCTCTGGCATTTTATAGATATCATTTATATTTTCTTTATTTCTCAGAATGCAACATCAAAGCATTCTATGTATCATAATACAACATAAAAAACCTCTTACATTTTTTATTAATCAATTATATCTGATATATGTTGAGGCAACCTACTGAATCACAACAATTTAACCAATAAACTCTATTACAACTTGATAAATTGATAATCAACAATACAAAAATAAATGTAAAAATGATTATATTGAGCATGAAATGGAATAGACATCAGACATTTTCCAATTTGTCATTGTTACCTTACTTAATATTAAAAGTAGATTCGCTTTTAGGTAATCTCTTCGGAGATTAAAGAACAAAATTGAAGTCTTATTTTTATTATATTTAAAGAAAATTCAATCTAGAGTAAATAAAATCTTTTTTTTTTGTTTTTGAGATGGAGTCTCGCTCTGTCGCCCAGGCTGGAGTGCAGTGGCACAATCTCGGCTCACTGCAAGCTCCGCTTCCCGGGTTCAGGCCATTCTCCTGCCTCAGCCTCCCGAGTAGCTGGGACTACAGGCGCCTGCAACCACGCCCGGCTAATTTTTTGTATTTTTAGTGGAGACGGGGTTTCACCGTGTTAGCCAGGACCGTCTCGATCTCCTGACCTCGTGATCCGCCCGCCTCGGCCTCCCAAAGTGCTGGGATTACAGGCGTGAGCCACAGTGCCCGGCCATAAAAACTATCTTGACCTTAATTATACAAAGTATTTTAAATGGCTTAGTGTACACTCTCTAGAATAAGACACAAAACGAGAAACAGAAACAAAAGTTTCCATTAAATAAACATTCAGTTCCTCATGTGACACTCTAAAAAGAGACATCAGAAAAATCTGACCCATCAATCACTATAAAATCTTACGGAAATGTGTCTTTACCAACATATTTAATATAACCATAGTAACAATTTTTGTATGGTTGTTGCCCATAATGTCTTTGATTGAAAGCCAATGGCATAACCAATTTTGTCAAAGCAATTCTTAAAACAGTCCAAACAGCATTGTTAACACTACTGTCAGAGTGCCTGATCATCATAGGGCATTATGTAAGTAATCTAGAGTAATGGTTTACACTGTATACCCTTCAAAAATCCCTTCAAAATGACTGTTTCTTGCAGTAAAACTTTAGATAAGAATTAGGCAGCACAGACTTAAGGGTTATGTTATCTGATAACAATCTGAACTACAAATGTGATGCAGACTGATGTTAAGTTCATATGCTTTCCCAATTAATGAAGCAGCGTGCATAAAAATATCAGTGCATAAACTGAGCACAAGGTGGGCCAAACAAAGATCTGTGGATGGGGCTAAGACATTCTTGAAGAATGGAGTCCTTCAAGTTCTATGCCATAAATCAAGACAACAATAAACACGGCATATCAAAGAGGTGTTCACATTTACAAAGAAAATGTTATAAATTGTTTGCCATGGCAGTAGCCAATCTCGTTGAAGCTCTTATAACAAATTCATTTGAAGTACATTTGATTTTTTAAGTTTTTAATAATTGGCGAATATACAGCTAAAGAAATAGATGAGTTATTTTCTTATGAAAAATGTTAGCTGTAAGAATGTTAATTGTTGGAGAACATCTGCCAAAAATGTAAATGATTTTTATTTGAGAATAATAATCCCAAATGCATTCTTTCAGTAATTTCCTAGTAGGATTACTTGATTTTTCAAATCACTCCCAAATCGAAACAATAAAGTGATGTGGTTAGAATGTTGCCTATTGTCTATTCCTGCAGAGAATAAGCCAGGTTATTCTAGATGTTATGAAATAATGTACAAAAAAAGGAGACTCAGATTTATTTCAATTTTATACCTAAAGAAATTTTTCAGAATGTGTATTCTGCCAAAATCATAGGTGTTTGTATGAGTTTGGTTTAATTTTTTTAGGACCACTAACCAGGGTCCAAATACGAGGAAAAATACAAGCTGATTCATTTCCAGTTCTTAACTGCAAAAGAGAAGTTCAAGAAAATATCAATTAAAACCTAAAGTGTAAAATTATATATAGATCTCCAGTATTATCTATACATGGTGTACCAGCAGAATATTAATGGTAATTACAACCTAGAATTCACCTGTCCTTATGTAGAACATTTACCTTACAAACAGAATTACAGTTTTACAAATAAAATGTGTTTTATATAGTGACTATTAACATATGGCTTATAGTAATTTGTCATTTAAAAAATAAGGTGAAATTCATTATGTGCCAAGTTGAACATATCATCAACCTTGTATTCATAAAAACTTCTAGAAGTGCTTTTTTTGCTCACATTTAGACAAAAGAGCCAAAATCATTTTAAAAGTTTATTTTGAGCTTTGTCATCAACAATAATATATGAGAAATATTTTCTAGATCCTAGATAAATTAAATCTTGGAATTTAAAACATTTAGATCATTTGACTTTCACACATAAAGCGGAGAATAATAAGTCCTCCAGGAACCAATCTGCATTTTGGCTTCTATGAGCTCAACAAACATAAGTCACAGAAAAGATCCCTATATTTTCTCATCAATTATTACTGCCAGCCAATATTATAAAGACTCATCCTTAACTTGACCTGGAAATGAGAATTTTCTAATAAAATTAAATTTGGTTTTGAAAATCCAAGTAGTTATTCATTCTTTAGCTAAATTTTATTTTTGTATCTTGGATATTTTTTCTCTAATATAAAGTGGGGTGTGTGTGTGTACAAGTTTTTCTGAAACTACCACAAAATTCCTGTCGACACGGGTACAAGACAAATGAGCCCAAGGTTTTCACAGACACAGATGTGATGAAATTAGCCACTTTATCAACAATGTGTTGATAAGAGTAGCAAAGCAGATATCATCCCTAAGGCATTCAAAATATTGTTTTAAGCCTACCCCATTATGCATTCATTACATTTTTGTAGAAAGATATTTATGCCATTAAAAAAATGATATAATAGAAAGTGAAAAAGTCATCTCACAAACCAGTTTATCCATGATGGCTATCATTTCAAAATGGTTATATCTAAACAGTATCTGGAATGTGATAAACTAAAATTAGAAAAGTGATTATTTCTGGTTGGTTAAACAACAAGCGTTTTTTCTCTTTTATTTCATATTTTGTATTTTCTAAACTATACCTAATAAAAATTTATTAATTATAATAAAAGAGGAAATAAATCAATGTGAAGATTTTAAACATCATCAGTAGTTAGAATTTATTTTACTTTATATATCCTGCATCTCATGTGCATATTGATAAGTATAAATGTCCACTAAGATATCTCTCAGGAGGCCAGGTGCGGTGGCTCACGCCTGTAATTCCAGCACTTTGGGAGGCCTAGGCAGGCAGATCATTTGAGGTCAGAAGTTCGAGACCAGCCTGGCCAACATGGTGAAACCAGTCTCTACCAAAAATACAAAAATTAGCAGGGTGTGGTGGTGGGCACCTGTAATCCCAGCTGCTTAAGAGGCTGAGGCAGGAGAATAGCTTGAACCCTGGAGGCAGAGGTTGCAGTGAGCCAAGATCACACCACTACACTCCAGCCTAGGCAACAAAGCAAGACTGTCTCAAAAACTAATAATAAAAAAGATATCTCTCAGGGCTGGCTGGGTGCAGTGGCTCATGCCTATAATTCCAGCACTTTGGGAGGCCAAGACAGGAGGATCACTTGAACCCAGGAGTTTGAAGCTGCACTGAGCCAGGATTGTGCCACTGCACTCCAGCCTGAGCAACAGAGTGAGACCTTGTAATGGAAAATGGGTAATTGTAATTTAGGCTATGAGTCTACAAGATAGATATAAGAATATTATGTATTCCAGTTTTGTATCATATGGTGCAACTCTTCATTATAAGATTTTGTGTATAAATAAATATGGTGAAATTCAATCTCATTTAGATTAAGACTAAAGAATGTGGAGTCTCCTGACTCATCTTGAATCAAAATTCTGCCTTTTACTATTTTTGTGATCCTAGTAAATCATTTAACATCTCATCCTCACACCTCAATTTCTCATTTATAAAATGGGAAGAATGACAAGGTTGTTACAAGGATTATGTGAGTGAATACAAGGAAATCCTTCAGGACAGTGACAGGCAGATTGTGAGTGCACAATTTACATTAGCTACTATGTTTTATTTTTTGTTGTTGCTGTTGCTTTTTTATTCATTCCTAGTGGAATTAACCAAGGAAATATACTCTTTTCTTTTCTTGAGTATTAGAGTATTCCAGGTGAAGATTCTTTCCAATTAGGATGTTCAAATTTCCAAATTAATAAATTATGGTGTGAGGGTAACAAGAAGAATGAAATCAAGTAATGCTATTGTGAGATTAATTATTCACCCAATAAGACAGTATTGCTCTACATTCAAAGGGAATAATAAATACAGGTACATTTTGGATCAGTTTATGTTTAATTCATTTATGTGAGAATTAGATCAATATCTGAAAAAAATCCTTTTATTACAATTGGAGACCTAAGCAAATTGTATCCTGGGTTTTTAAAGCTTGTCATCAGAAATCACATATATCTGAAAAACAATGTATAATAAAAATCCAAAATATATTTTCTTACTAAAGAGCAGATATGCTACCAGTAAAATAAAGTTGGTATAAAATATAGAAGAGAACTTTAATGATCTGTCCCTTAAAAATAGGATTTCATTACAAGGTAATTACGTCAGTCATTAGAATGCTAGTTTTCCTGCTATGAGGTGGGATGAGGTAAGATAGTTACAAGACACAACACATTGATTCATTTGTCTTTCATTAGGTTCCCAACATCTTCCTAAAAATAGAAGACTTGTATGGGGTCACAGTATTACGGAAACACCAAAGATTTGGTCTGCTGCTTGCTCCACAGAAAGCCAATCACTGAGACAATGATTATTGCCAAGGAAGAAGGCTTTAATCAGGGGCTGCAGCCAAGGAGATGGAAGACCAGTCTCAAATCCATCTCCCTGATAGGCTAAAATCAGGGGTTTATATAGCAGGGAAAAAAATGTAACAATGTATAGGATAACAGGAGCTCCCAATGCCTAAGGAAGCAATCATAATGAATGAGGGGACTGGTGTCTCACCGTCTGTAGGTGGTGATCTGGTGAGTTTCTTTGATACTTTTTGAGAGGCCTGGGGGACCTTTACTGAGGAAGGAACTCAGATAAGACAAATGTAAGCTGCAAGCTTTAAGACCAGAAGGGTCAATTTCTGTGTGTATGCAAGACTGTACACAGACAGACACACACACACTCACATCCCAAGCAAACAAAACACAAAAATCAGCTATGCTGATTGGAGTCAACTTAAGTATTCTTCACAAGAGGAATAAAATAAATCATTGGACATACACTCTATGCAGTTACTCTGAAATAACTAAAGAATAAAGTCTGTATATATGACATAAATATATGTGATATATCATTGATTAAAATAGTGTATTACTGTGTGAAATAAATTTAACTTGACTGGGCGCCGTGGCTCATGCCTGTAATCCCACCACCTTGGGAGGCCAAGGCAGGCAGATCATGAGGTCAGGAGTTCGAGACCAGCCTGAACAACATGGTGAAATCCTGTCTCTACTAAAAATACAAAAATTAGCTGGGCGTGGTGGCGTGCCTCTGTAATCCCAGCTACTCAGGAGGCTGAGGCAGGAGAATCACTTGGACCTGGGAGGTGGAGGCTGCAGTGAGCCAAGATCGCATCACTGCATTCCAGCCTGGGTGACAGAGCGAGACTCCGTACCCCCCCACCAAAAAAAAAAAAACAAATTAACTTAAAAAACACATGTATACACCAAAAGTATCTAGAAGAATACAAGTTGTTAAGCTTGGTAATGACTTTAGGGTGTATTTTATATAGGAAAGGGCAAGAGAAAGGGTGGTAAAGATTGGACTTTCTTTTTATACTTACAAAGAACATGCATTACAAAGAACTTAAAAGGATGTCATTTTATTTATCACATTATATTATTATATTTACTTATATTGTTAAAGCATACACTTTTATGTGGCTTTGCTCATAGAATCAACTGAGGATCAAAATTGAAAAGAACCATCTGTAATTCAACTCTATTAATACTTTCAAGTTGCCAGGTAACCTCATCAAAGTGAACAAGAAGTGGTATAAGCTATGTCAGACTAGTTATAAAAGTGCAAAGTACTCATCACTCCTTTATAGTAATAGCCATGTCTGAGAGTAAAACCAAGATTGTATTTTAGATTAGCAATAGTCAAATGATGGGATAAAGGTACAACAACGTTTAGATGTGTGTTTATGGAATAAAAAACTCTTGAAGGACTTAACTGTGTTTATATGTATGTATTAGTATTCTTCTGTTGACATTTGTTGGGAGGTAAGGTAACAATGTGATATTACTAACTTACTTGTAAGAAAGCCCTTTATCCATATATATATATATATATATATATATATATATATATATATATTTATTTATTTATTTATTTATTTAGACGGAGTTTCGCTCTTCTTGCCCAGGCTGGAGTGCAGTGGCGCGATCTCGGATCACTGTAACCTCCGCCTCTTGGGTTCAAGCAATTCTCCTTTCTCAGCCTCCTGAGTAGCTGGGATTACAGGCACCCGCCACTATGCCTAGCTAATTTTTGGTATTTTTAGTAGAGAATGGGTTTCACCATGTTGGCCAGGCTGGTCTCAAATTCCTGCCCTCAGGTGATCCACCCGCCTTGGCCTCCAAAGTGCTGGGATTACAGGCGTGAGCCACCGTGCCTGGCCCTTTCCATATTTTTTATAATAGCTTCAAATTCATGAGATGTTGGGCAATCTCATGACCTGTAATCCTGTTTTTTTCAGTAATTTAGATTTTTATTATGCAGGTAATAAATTCATTAGTATTAAAATAAAGAGAAGAGGTTTAAAGTTGCTGTTGTTTCCCAGATGCTGTATAAAGTGACTGTAAAGCATTTTTCAGCATAATAAGGTTGAATAACTATTTTCATCATAGCCATTTTCCTCAGGTCACCTGACACATCATGGAACAAATCAATATTCCCGTTCAATTTCATTTTCATTTTCACACAAGCCAAATGCATACATAAATGCATATGTTTCAATTTACTCAAAACCAAATCATACTGGTTACCTAATATTTTGTACCCTCATTCAGAAAAGTAATCATACTATTTATTTGCCACTATGTTTCCTTGGCAAGGAACTGCCATGAATGTTTTACCAGTTTCGTTTTATGACATAATTTTCAGTGAAATAGTAAATAATTTTTAGGTGTATTCAACCTGATCTAATTGTTTCCAATGTAAGTGTTGTTTTTGTTTATTGGCTTCTCTGTTTTGAACCTCAAAATTTGAGTTAATACTTAGAAAAAATATTTATCAATCAAATGACTTATTAAATGTGATTTTATGCAAAGGGATACTCATACAGGTTGTATGACACAGGTTGTATCATGTGTATCAGAATACATATGATACAAAACCTACATTAATTTTTAAAGGCATACATACCCAAAATGTTTGTGATATACTTTCAATCTCTGTTTTTAATTTCGATTGTCTATTCAGTGTTGTTAATGTCAGAGAGTTTTTTTCAAATAGCAAAATGTTGCTAAAATTGCTTGGTTTATAAATATTTGTTTTAATTACATTTGAAATTTATAAACCTTACTTATTACCTCAATTTTAACTTAAATATGCTTATAGAAAAGCTTATTTTTTTGTAATCACCAAATAATGCTGTTTATTATCCAATTGTAATTTTCAGACTAATAGTATTAAAAAGAAATTCAAATTGCTTGTTCCTCCAAAGTTGCTAAACTCAAGATTAACATTATATTCCCTTAAGCAATAAATAAGGAGTATAAATTATATGTAACATTTATAAGCATAGAATAGAACAGTAATTTTTAAATCAATTCTGCATGGAATATTGACACACGATTTAGCTTTTTTTAACGAAAATCTGAAGTAACTAAACGTTTTGACATTGAAATCACTAAGCTAAGCTTGCTCATCATAATATCCAAAATGCAAGATCTTCAAATAATTACAGGCAATTTACATAATAAACATATTATCCAAATGATTATTAAGCTTTGCCTAAAGTTCGCCACAAATCAATATGATAAACAAACACGTGAATTTGGGAGAGTATTTCAAGATTTAGATCTCCCACTGGGGCCTGAATGCTGGTACCAACTGCATTACCTGTATGCTCTGACATGAAAATAGAGCACAGGAAATGAGGTGATCATTTACTATGTTAATTAATTAAACACGAAGATTAAATACTTGTAATGGATAATATTGAATGTCAACTTGATTGGATTGAAGGATGCAAAGTATCCTTCCTGGTCTGTGAGGGTGTTGCCAAAGGAGATCAACATTTGAGTCAGTGGACTGGGAGGGGCAGATCCATCCTCAATCTGGGTGGGTGCCATCTAATCATCTGCCAGCACAGCTAGAATAAAGCAGGCAAGAGAGGATGGAAGACCAGACTTGCGGAGTCTTCTGGCCTTCATCTTTCTCCTGTGTTGGATGCTTCCTACCATCGAACATCGGACTCCAAGTTCTTCAGCTTTTGGACTCTTGGACTTAAACTAGTGATTTGCCAGGGGTTCTTGGGCCTTTGGCCACAGACTGAAGGCTGCACTATCAGCTTCCCTACTTTTAAGGTTTTTGGACTTGACTGGCTTCCTTGCTCCTCAGCTTGCAGATGACCTATCGTAGGATTTCACCTTGTCATCATGTGAGTCCATTCTCCTAATAAACTCCCTTTCATATATACATAAATCCTATTGGTTCTGCCCTTCTAGAGAACATTGACTAATACAATACTTAATCAAATACTTATTGTATAGGTTAATTTTATGCGTCAACTTGGATAGGTAATGGTGCCCAGTTGTTTGGTCAAACACCAGTCTGATGTTTCTGTGATGATATTTTTTAATGTGATTACAATTTAAATCAATAGACTAAGTAAAGCAGCCTACTCTTCATCATGTGTGTGGGCCTTAGTTCATCAGTTGAAGGCCTCGAGAGCCAAGGCTATGTATGGTTTACCATAGAAGAAGCAATTATGCCTCAAGACTACAACACAGTAACCCTACCTGAGTTTCCAGCCCTCAGATTTCAGACTCAAGATTGCATCATTATTTCTTCCTTCAGTTTCCAGCCTGCTAGCCTTCTCTCGAGATCATAAACTTGTCATCTGCCATAATTGTGTGAACCAATTCATTACAGTCTTTTTTATCTCTTTCTTTCATGATATATATATTTAAATGCCTTTCCTTCTTAGAATAAAAGCTGACGTATTTATTGTGGCTTACCAAGACACAGGATCTCCATTCAAACTCAATTGTATATATACAAAAAGGATGAAGTGAATATATATATATATATATACACACACACACATATATCTATATGTGTGTGTATACATATATACGTGTGTATATATGTTTTTTACATAATTAGTTCTGTTTCCTTGGAGAATCCTCATTGACTGACTTACATGTGCCAGGCACTGAGCGTGGAGTAGTGAATATGATAAAAGTACCTTTGCTCGTGAATCTAGTAGGGGCAAATGACAATAAGCATTGCATATCATGATAAGTCCTGTAACTTTTAAGAAAGTAAGGGGTAACAGAATAAAAGTAAATTGGAGGTGATGGTTAGAGAAATCTTCTCTTAAGTGATAACAGAAATACGGATAAAGTGAAAAATACAAATAATACGTAGATTTGGAAGAAGAGTTTTGTGCACAGACGTAAGAGAAACAGCAGTAGAAAACGTGGAGCATTGTTTCTGAGGAACTATAAGAAGGATAATGTGGCTGAAGAAATTAGTTAAGAGAAAAACTCTGAGATACAATTTCAGAGAGACATTCAGAGGCCAAACAGGCCTATAGCCATATGTTATGGTCAAAATGTTTATGTCCCCTCAAACTTACATGTTGAAACCTAATCACCTTTGTGGTTGTGTTAGGAGGTAGGGTGTCATTAGGTCATGAAGGTACAGCCCTCATGAATGAGGTTAGTGTCCTTATTTTAAAGGCCCCAAACAACTGCCTTCCTCTTTTCATCCTTTGAGAATGCAGCAAGGCGGCACAATCTATGAACCAGAAGAGTAGAGCCCTCACCAAACATAAAATCTGCTGGCACCTTGATCTTGGATTTTTCAGCTTCCCAAACAGTGAGAAATCAAGTTCTGTTGTTTATAAGCTATTCAACTTGTAGTATTTTGTTCTAGCAATTCAATACACTAACTCACCATATTATTACTACACCATTGTTAGAAGTTTGTTGTTGTCATTGTTTTTAGTCTTGTCTTTTGGATTCTGTGGAATACAGAAATTATTTGATCTAAAAAACATCAATTAATTGTCTCAGTATAGAAAAATCCCAGTGTGCCAGCTAAGTACAAATACAAATAGTAACTAATTAGCCCACTACATGATAAAACTGATAGTGTGGTGAGTGGTCGTAAATAGAGAGGAGGATGAAATAATATCTATGAAAAACAATGACTCCATCATAAAGAGAGGACATTCCACTGCCTTTACCTTATCTCAGAACTTCAAGCTAGTGAATACTGCCAAACCTGGTAAATTTATTTAGCAGAAATCCAAACTCAAAATATTGATTACCTATCAATATTCAGATGTTACTTTATGAGACTGCTCATGTCTTTTTAATAAACACACACACAAAAAGGTATACTCGAAGTTTGATTTTACTTATGAATAAATGGTACAATGGGGCCATTTTTGCAGATAAAAAAATCTATGTCACTCCAATCTGCTCCAACGGATATGTCAGAATGCACACATTTCCTTTACTGCTTCATTTAGGCCAATGAGCACAAGAATTTTATTTAGTTTACTGCTTTGACTGTTGCTTCTGCTACTAAGATTCTGTCTCCTCTCTATTCCATCTCCTAAGCTCCAAATCATTGATGGAAAATCTATTTTCACCTTTTTCTAAGACTGATCTGAGTAATAACTCTGTAGTAATGGCATGGATTACAATAGAGAGAGATAAATTGGAAAAAAAGAAAATTAAATTTCCTTTACTATGCTATCTCCTGTCAACACGTTCTCTCGCCCATGGCTTTCTTCTTTCTAACCTGCACTTTCTGCTCTTTTCCAACCCCTCTGAATAATCCGTTTTGTCGCCCAACTCAGAATCTTAATGCAATATCCATGGTACATGCCCAAGAGCCATCGTTTTTAAATGAAAATGAGGGGGAAAAAATGGAAGACTTGAATCGTTTTATGAAATACAGATTATTCTGTGATCTAAGAGACCAAAATAGACACGACTGTATAACTAAGATGGACCCTAAGGCTAAGGAGACAAAGTTTTTTACAGGTCCAGGGTTCAGGGCTCCACTGGCAAATCTAAATTATTATTGCTCTAAATTCCTTAACTATAGGAGCTATTAGAGCTCTCCTAAATCTGTTTTACAACCCAGACCGCTTCAACTCTGACTGGACAGAGGACCAGCCTTACAAACTTTCTTACCTGATAAACTACTGCAGACCGTAAGTCAGTTTCATCCAGCTTATAGAGACTGTGCACAAACTGTCTGTTCTGTAGTTCACTTTTTGATGTAAAGAGCCAAATTCCACTTCATTTTAATGCTAAAACCTCACCCCAAAGGGAACACAGGATGGATAGATGTTATATGTAGGTTTACCCATTGTGTATGTGCTCAGCTTCCTTCATACATATGTATAGCTTTTCCCCCAAATCTGATGAATATATACGACTCTGTTGTGTAATATGGACGCTGTGAGGTGTAAACATGATCTGTCCCTCCCCTCCACAAATGGGAGACTTTCTTTTCCTGACTTGCAAAGTGCTATCACCAATACAGCTCTCTTTTCTACCTTATTCATCCTAAATTAGCCATCCCTGTGGTCTTTTGGACAATAATTCTTAATTTAGTTCTTCACATATAAAAATGCCAGTTATGTTTATCTGCACAATATTTTAGAGGTATTGGGTCTACATAGCTGTCTCAGGTTGGGTTCTACTGGCAGCTGACTCAGAGACACGATTATTAGGAAGTGCTTCTGCAGCAGTTTAATTAGGAAGGACCCTGGGTATCAACACCTATGGCAGGGAAGGAAGAGAAGCAGGCTTGGATAGAGGGAGAAGTTCAGATGTGATGCAATCCCAGCCATGACCTTGGCTGACCTCTTAGGGGTCTCTGGAAAGGAATGACACTTCAGAGTTATGATTTTCATCTAGATGGCCTGGGCTTTATAGGCACATTGGTCAATTATTGGTTGTGGGCTACTCTGGGAAGGGGGACTTGGGAGACACCTCTTTTTAGCTGAGACATTTCAGAAGAGAACTGGAAACTGAAGATAACTTAGTGACAACATTTTGAGCAGTTGAGACAACAAGATCTTCATTCCTGAAGAGAAATCTGAGCATTGCCTCATGGCATCCAACACAGAGAGGGGAAAAGACACCAATAATAAAGTGTAGGGTTACCTATCCAGGGAAATAATGACCCAGAATCCTGGGAAGAAAAATAGTTTAAGGGGCACTGAATGAGTAATGATGTGACAGAAACTGTATTCACTGAATTCAAATGAAATCAAAGGCAGTTTTTATTATGAGACTTAAAAAAATTTATTCTTTTTTGTTTTTGTTCTCACTTCCTGGACTTTTCCAAAATAATTGGCTCTAACAGACAACATACAAAAACCACAGAAGGGCTGCATGCTTGCCTTAGGGACAGGTGAGAAAAGAGGAAAGTATGGAATGTTAATTTTTGTGTGTGTGCTTGGACCTGGAGAGAAGAAAGACTGATGGCAACAGAGGAGATGAAAGGGAATTAATTCCCCAGGTTCAGAAGAAAAGCCAGTGAATTACTGTGAAGCCTCTCTGAACACATATAATATCCCCAGGAGGTTTGCCTTGTCAGAATGTGAAGTTTTATACATTCCCATTACCAGAGTTTCTGTTTCTTCTCCAATCTGCTGATCAACTGAAAATGTGCAGGAATGATATATAACGATATATATAGATATAGATATATATACACATATCGTTCCTGCACATTTATATATATATTTATAACGATATATATATATTTATAACGATATATATAACGATATATATAATGATATGTATATATATAACGATATATATATCTATATACATATATAATGATATATATATAACGATATATTATATATAACGATATATATATATATATAACGATATATATATATATATATATATCTGAAGCCTCACCTGCCTAATTAATGATTTGGGGACAGCATCCACTATCCTGCCAGATATTTTTCACAGCCTAAATTAAAACTATGGGGGA
This sequence comes from Homo sapiens, assembly GCF_000001405.40. Taxonomy (NCBI): domain Eukaryota; kingdom Metazoa; phylum Chordata; class Mammalia; order Primates; family Hominidae; genus Homo; species Homo sapiens. The sequence goes on along the minus strand of NC_000013.11, from coordinate 85,744,826 downwards.
AAAAAAGCAACTTTTACAGTAGAAACTATTAGTGTTTCAGAATTACAGAGTACAAAGAAAGGAATCAGAGATCCTGAATAGTCAATACAGGAAGGACACAAGCTGTTGAAAGGTGTTAAAACATAATTAACAAAACTGTTTACACTGTTGGTGGGACTGTAAACTAGTTCAACCCTTGTGGAAGTCAGTGTGGTGATTCCTCAGGGATCTAGAACTAGAAATACCATTTGACCCAGCAATCCCATTACTGGGTATATACCCAAAGGATTATAAATCATGCTGCTATAAAGACACATGCACACATATGTTTATTGTGGAACTATTCACAATAGCAAAGACTTGGAACCAACCCAAATGTCCAACAATAAT